>NC_000021.9:45314920-45468816 GCF_000001405.40 Homo sapiens | reverse complement strand
GTCCCCCAGCGACGGCACAGTGGGGGTTACCTGGAACTTGTCAGGGTCCGCTCCCCCCGCCTGAGCCACGAAGAGCCCGGCGCCAGGCTCCAGCTCCAGGCCCCGTGAGGACCGAGCAAGCGGCATTCTCTGGAACTCCTCACAGTCCACGTAGAGGGCCACAAAGCCACCTGCCACACTGAGGGCTAAGTGTGTCCACTGGCCGACGAAGGCGGGGAGCCGGAAGCTGGCGGCTGTGTGGGTCTGGCCTGCACCTGGTTCTGTGTAGAGCAGGGAGATGTCCTGGTGCCCGTCCTGCACCCCAGAGAGCTTCACGCCCAGCAAGACCATGGCCTGCGCCGAGTCCGTGATGGCGAACAGCACCCCTGGGCCCTCTGTGGCTGGCCGGATGTGGAACAGCAGTGAGAAGTCACGGAAGAAGAGGCTGGGGAAGTGGTACCGGGCCACTTGGCCACTGTTGGCATCTGGCCCAAAGACGTAGGCCAGCCCGACGTCGGGGTCATCCGTCTGGGTGACCTGCTGGGGCGGGGGGTCCCCAAGGAGCTGCAGCAGCCCCACCTCCTCGCTGATGCGCTCTGCAAAAAGAAAGACAGCTGGTGAGGTGGCTGTGCAGGACGGAACCAGGGGCCACCGACGCGGCCTGGAGAGGCAGCCAGGCAGGGGCAGAAAGGAGAAACTGAGTCTGGGAGGGCTCTCCACGTGCCTGGCAGCCTGCCCTGATCCCCTGGGCTCAGCCACCCAACGGCCACCCTGGTTCACTCATTCCCAAACGACAGGCAGGCTCCATGCAGAAACCTGTGTGCAGGGGACATGGTGTCTGCAGGAGACATGGTGTCTGCACGGGACATGGTGTCCACAGGCCCCCTTCCATGCTTTGAGCAGGGATGGGCACAGCAGACATGGTGTCCACAGGCTTCCCCTTCCATGCTTTGAGCATTGATGGGCAGAGCCAGTGGGGAGAAGGGACCAGGGACTGGCCGGCACCCCCGCTGGGGCAAGGAGCTGTGAGGGGCTGGGGCTGGCAGCCTTCCCGCCCGGCCCTGTGCCCTGCCCGCCCACTCTGACCCTGCTGGAGCAGCCCAGGCCGGCACCCCAGCCTGGCCTCCACTGTGAAGCCACAGTTCCACCACAGGGAAGGAGGGAGGCTGACCCCACACCCCAGTGTTCTTCGAAGCCTCGGCTACGGGGCGTCGCCCAGAGTGGCTGCCTCAGCTGGGGTTCCACGTGGCATCTGAGGACACGGTGCGGGATTTCACCCAGCGCTGTCGGTCACCGGCTCACCTGCTGGGCCAGGTGCTTCATGTGGCAAGGACAAGCTGTATCTCCCCATCCCCCCCATGCTGATTCCCCTCGGGGCCACAATCACCCCTTGGAGGGGCTGCATGCCTGACGTACCTGCCAACGTGCCACAGTCTCCCCACCAGCCCCGCTGCTCCGTGCAAATGCCCCACAGCGCCGGGTGACTCACTCCACTCATTCCTGCCCAGGCGGAGCTTGACTTCACTTCGACTCAGTAGCCCAGGGTCAGAAGGAGCCCTGTCCATCCCTCGCCCAGGGAGCCCAAGCCAGGACGCAGCCCCGGTGCCCAGAGTTCTCACACCTCGTTTCCTGCCCACGGGAGGGGGGCAGCACCCACTCAAGGGCAGACCCTGCTCAGAGTGACTTCCCAGCACACCTGCCGTGCCAGGCAGAGCCCGGGCTTTGCAGCCACAGTCTGGGCCAGGGGCAGAGGGGTCCCAACGGGCTGAGCCTGGGCTCTGGGGGCCAGCGGTCACATCCCCCTCAGACAGAGGCCGCCGTCCACCCAGATGGCAGCTGTTACAATGATCGTCCATCCAGATGGCAGCTGTTACAATGATCCTTTTTCTCATAAGAAGTGCCTGGTCCCACATGTCCAAGCTGGGGCTGTGATAAGATCAGGAAACAGGACTCGGCCTGGGGGCCAGAGGCCGTGCCAGCCACCCAGCTGCCCCCGCGTTCACCTTGGAGAAACCTCCCACCACCCTTCCTAGAACATTCCGTCATTGGGAAAGCAAGATGCGGCAGCTGCCACCTTCCTGGGCTGGAGGGTACCAGCACGCTACACCGGCGGCCCCAGGGACCCCAGTGACAGCAACGCCCTTTCCAAAGCTGTCCCGTCTCCTCTCCACGAAGCTCCTGGGGGCTCCCTTCAGAAGCCAGCTTCCAAATGCCCGGCCCTAAGATGCTGGATGGGCAGAGAATGGCGCAGCCTCCACTCCCCGAGGTACAGGCCCAGCTGTCTCAGATGTCCTGGAATCAAACAGCAAATGCCTGAACCCCATTTCGAGAGCTCAGCCTTCCCGGGTGCGAGAGCTCAGCCTTCCCGGGTGCGAGAGCTCAACCTTCCTGGGTATGGTGGGGCGGCCCCTCCTGCTGGACCACCTCCCTTTGGATCAAGGTGCTTGCTTCTTTAAAGACCATTTCCCCCTCAGGAATCAGGCCAGCCAGAAGTGTGGATGGTTCTGGAGGCCTGTGTGTGTTAACAGAGGCCCCTTTAAATATGCCCAGGACAGACAGTGCAGCCAGCATCCTCCCCGCAGGAGAGCAGCGGGTACCTCTGGCTGGGACTCTCCGCTGTTCTCACACCAGTGTGGAACGTCCCCGCCCCTCCCCTTGGGTCCCTTATCTTAGGGGACCGGGGACGTCCATCCCTTCTGCAGTGGCAGCCTCTGAGCCAAAGCGCCCTCTCCCAGAAGCCGGACTTTCCAGGACCCTCACTCCCAGCCTCACCCTGACACGGCCTGACTGGGGGTCTCCTGTGAGTCCCATGCTCGGCTTTGTCTGACACCTCCCAGGACAAGACCGTCCCTTCTCCCCAAACTGGGCTCTCCACCAAGAGCCGCGTTCACCCACGGGGGAGTGGGCTCCAGACAGGCCAGTCCTCGAGGGCCACACCCAATGTCCTGCATCCCTCACGGCCACCGTGGCTCCGAAGAAAAGGGCAAACCCCTCAGAGACCCTCAGACACGTGCACTCCACGGACGCCCGCCTGTGCTCAGCATCAGGTGCTCCAGACACTCCCCAGAACCAGCCCAGCCTGACTCCTCGGGGCACAGGGCCTGGAGTCTCTGCTGCCCCTTTGAAGGGCTCCTGAGGACAAGATCCAAGGCTGCCTGGCCAGCCCCCCGCCCTCCAGCACAGCCCCCTCCAGTCCTGCAGAGCCAGGGCCGCTCGTGCCCACATGGAGTGCTCTCAGCCCACTTTCCAGGGAAAAGAGAAAATAACCACCTCAGTAAGACTCACACAGAGCTTCCGGAACCTGATCCAGAGCTTGAAGAGTGCGCCACCATCATCACTCCATCACACCATAGCACTTACGCAGTGAAGTGCCCGGGGGGACATCTTGGCATCAAAGAAAAACGGCCTCAGAACAAACACCTCCACCAAATCCCAAGGCTGCAGAGCCCCCACGGAAGGCTAAAAACAACCTAAGAAACGGGCCCCTGTCCCCGGGTGGAGACTTCCTGTTGACACTCGGACACGTTTACAACATTCAATCTCTCCACCGTCAGCGCTGACCCAAAACCCACGCCAGGCACAGGTGGGGTGGCTCAGCTGGTGTCTGATAAACAAAGGCGAGGCTGTGCGATGAACCCGCCAGTCGGGGCTGAGCAGGTGTCTGCAGGGTCATCTGTTATACAGAGAAGCAGAAATACCTGCGAGTGCTTCAGTCAGGAAGGGCTGAGGAAAAGACCAGAACAACACGAAGAGCAGAGCATCTCCCTGGAGTTATGGAGACTCCTGAGATGCAGGATAAAGGAAAGAGGAACTTTCAGACACAGGGCAATCCCATTAATGCAAAGTAAGACTCCCATGCATATGTACACATGTGCAGCCGTGCACATGGACAAACTGTGGTGGGCAGAGCCATGGCCCCAAGGATGTCCACGGCACAACAGCTGGAACCCACAAGCGTAATTTTACGTGGCAAGGGGATGCTGCAGCTGGGACTCAGGCTGTGGACCTGGAGATGGGAGATGATCCACTTCTAACCACACAAAGCCTTAAAATCGAAGGACAAAAGATGGCACCATGAGGACTTGTCCAACACCGTTGGCTTTGAAGGGGGAAGAAGGGGCTTTGAGCGAAGGGAAGCGGCAGCCTCTAGAGGCTGGAAAAGTCAAGAAAACAGATTCTCCTCCAGAGTCCCAGAGGGACCCAGCCCTGACAACACCTTGGTTTCAGCCCAGTGAACTGGTTTCAGACTCTGACCTCCAAAACTGAAAGGTAAGACAGCTGTGTTGGTTTAAGCCACTGAATTTGTGGCAATTTCTTACAGTCGCCAATAGGAAGCTACATACCTATATGCAAATTGGCACAAACCCATGGGGGGATGGACACGGTGCCCCCACCTGACCACTGCAGGTGGCCGTGGTTAGTGGGACTCAGGAGCTCTGTTCCACCCTCTCATGTGTGGCTGGAGTCTTGCCGAGGGCCTGCCTTATCTAAGAGGGTCTTTTTTGGCCCCAGGTTGGGCTGTTGACTTCTGGGACAGACTCCAGCCCACCAGGAAGATCTCATCCCCAAAATCCCATCCTGGGAAGAGGAAGAGATGAAAACGGGAGGCTTTGGAGCTCCCACCGAGGGACTACGGGATCCACCTCTGCCCCAGTGCCTGGGCACTGTGCTACTCCCGAGGGCTGGGCAACCTGGAAATGTGGTCACTCTGCCCCCGCAGATGTGTGTCTCTTCCTGAGAGCTAGAGGCTTCCATCATGGTTTGGCTCCAGCCCAGTTCTCAAAGCTCCAGCCTCTGAGCTCTGGACCCAGCCACAGTGCCCATAGGGAGTTTCTCCCCGCATTTGGCATAGCTGGGTGGCATCCAGGCTAGACACCTGCACATGATATAACAATGATGATGCCTCAAGACTTGATTTCTTTCCTTTTCTTTTTTTTTTTTAGATGGAGTTTCGCTCTTGTTGCCCAGGCTGGAGTACAGTGGTGCAATCTCAGCTCACCACAACCTCCACCTCCCAGGTTCAAGCAGTTCTCCTGCCTCAGCATCCCGAGTAGCTAGGATTACAGGCATGCACCACCATACCCAGCTAATTTTGTATTGTTAGTAGAGATGGGGTTTCTCCGTGTTGGTCAGGCTGGTCTCCAACTCCCGACCTCAGGCGATCCGCATGCCTCGGCATCCCAAAGTGCTGGGATTACAGACGTGAGCCACCATGCCTGGCCAAGACTTGATTTCTTGACAGAAAGAAACGTGTTTGAAAATGATTCTGGAGTACTCTGGTAAATGGCAGATGGAAAGCGCCAGGAATCCATCTCCCCAACTAATTAACAAGTGCATGGGCAGAATTTGTCTTAGAACTCTTTTGGAACTCTGGAGTCTACTGAAAGCTTGCAATGTCCACAGGAAGGCTTGGACGGTAACGGGTGGTTAATTTAGCTAAACCCCAGCTCTTGGCACAATAGCAGCCACACATCCATCCTCCACCCCCATTCCCATAGCAGGTGCCATGCACGAGTTCCTGGAGCAGCAGCCACACAGCTTGTGGGAAACAGGACGGCAAAAAGGACCCTGTCCTGCAGACATCGAGAACCTGTGCTCTGATCAGGTTGCCTGGGATCACAGATGTGCAGACAGGGAGGTGGGGCCATTGTTTTACACTCCCTCTGTTGTTGCAAGCTGCCCCTTCCAGCTGAAGTGACTTGAAGGGGATTTAGAGGGCTGGCACTGTTTTTTCTCCCTCATTTTTATCTTATTCCTCCTTTGGGAGCCAAACATGAAAGAACGGGACATTGAAAAACAGCAGCATGTAAGAGGAAAATTAGAAAGTGGCTGCACACACCCAGGGAAAGGGACAGGCTCAGAAAAGACCTGAGAAGACCTGAAGTTCACACCTAAGGGAGATTTCTGGCACAGACACAAAACATTTTTTAAAAAGTAACAAAAAAAAGCGAACGCTGGTGAAGGGCAAAATTCAAGAGCCACATTACTGAGTTCAAATGTTCACTTTTTAACACAAAATCACAAGGCACACAAAGCAATAAGAAAATATAGCACATTCAAAGGAGAAAAATAAATTAACAGAAGCTGTCTCTGCAAAAGACCTGATGGCAGATCTACTAGACAAAGACTTTAAAATGACTGTCTTAAAGATGCTCAAAGAACTACAGGAAGGTGTGGAGAAAGTCAAGAAAGTGATGTATGAACAACATGGAAATATCAATATAAAAACCTTGAAAGAAACCAGAAAGAAATTACAGAACTGAAAAGTACAATAGCTGAAATTGAAAACATCACTAGAGGAATCTGAAGGTGATTTGAGCAGACAAAAGAATAAATTAATGAGCTTGAAGATAAGATAATGGAAATTTTCAAAGACAAAAGATGAAAGAAAGGTGAAAAGAGCCTAAGGGGCTTGTGGCCACCATCAAGAGACAAGGAAGCATGCATGCCGTGGAAGCTGCAAACAGAAGAGAAAAAGAAAGGTGCAGAGAGACTATCTGAAGAAATAATGGCTGAAAGCTTCTCAAATTTGTTGGGAGACATGAATATAAACAGTTAAGAGCTCAGGGAACTCCAAGTAAGGTAAACTCAAAGAGACTCACACCAAGTTACATTATCATCAAACTTTCAAAAACAGAGAGAGAATCTGGAAAGCAGCAAGAGAAAAGCAACTGATCACATCCAAGGGCTTCTTAATAAGATTATCAGCAGATTTGTCACAGAAACTTTGGAAGCCAAAAGGCAGTGGACCAATATATTCAATGTACTAAAAGAAAAAAAAAACTGTTAACCAAGAGTCCTATATCCAGTAAAACTGTCCTTCAAAAGTGAGGGAGAAATTGGCATTCCCAGATAAACAAAAGCTAAGGGAGTTAATTGCCACTAGACCTGCCCTGCAGAAAATGGTCCAGGGAGTCCAGCAGGTAAAATGAAAGGACACTAGTCAATAACAGTAAGTCACATGAAGAAATGAAGATCTCAATAAAGGTAAATACATGGGCAATTATAAAAGCTGGTATTGCAACAACAGTTTGTAACTGCACTTTTTATGAATGAACCTGGAGGATATTAAACTAAAGGAAATAAGGCAGGCATAGAAGCAAATACTGCATGATCTCACATGTGGGATCTAAAAAAGTCACATTCATAGGAGCAGAGTAGAATGGTGGTTGTCAGGGGCTGAGGTCTAGGAAGGACAAATATGCGTGTGTGCCACAGATGTGGCTAGCAAGGAAGCCTCGAGGGGGGCCCAGCAGCCTGGCTCCAGACTGCTCTTCAGCATTGCAGCAGATGCAGGACAAGGAAGAGCCCTGCAGGGGGGCACCAGGAGACCAGCAGGTGTCCACCCTAATGGTGCAGGCCATCTGATAAGGGGTAGGGACTGGTGCCGGATGGACGGTGCCCATGCACAGAGTGGGGTGCAATGGGGCACAGCTGCCACCCCACTCTGTGCATAGGCAACGGGGGCCTCCTTGACTTACTGTTACTGAGTAGTGTCCTTTCATTTCGCCTGTTGGACTACTGGACCATTTCCTGCAGGGAAGGTCTAGTGGCAATTAACCCCCTTAGCTTTTGTTTATCTGGGAATGCTAACAGGGCACAGCCGAGGCCAGCCCACAGAGAAGAGGAAATGTGACTGTTGGTCGAAGGGTACAAAGTTTCAGTTATGCAGGAAAAGTAAGTTCTAGAGGTCTAATGTACACATGGTGATTACAGCTAGAATACTGTATCGCATATGGCACTTCAAACTTGAGTAGATCTTAAGTTTTCTCACCACACTCACAACGGTAACTGGTTGAAGTGATAGATGTCCACTAGCTTGACCTTAGATATATACAAAAACCCAAATATACGTAAAAGGACCTGCAGGAAGCCCTGTTTGGAGTGCTGTGCTTTTCATTCTGTCTGTGCTTAGTTCAGAATCACACAAGATCTTGTACCCACAGACAACTGCACCCAATGCACTGGGCCCTTGACACTCCAGTAGGAGTTAAATGCTGAGTCACTCTTGGTGCATCTAAGAGGCATGGAGAATTTACGAGAAGCTTAGCCAGCATCATCGAAAAAATATTTGTAGGTTGCCAAGCGGTGAGAGATAAGCATGAGTTATTTCCCAGAGTGGTCTTCTCCCTTCTTAAACCAAAGTTACATGGAAACATCAAACAAATCAAAGCATTTTAAGGAGAAGGGACATTTTCTCAAATTCTGCATTTGACTAAAGGAGCAAGAGGTAAGCACCATATAAGGACACCTGTGTGCCAGTGGCTGGCCCATGGGGTAGGGAGGAGCGATGAAGGAGCAGCCCCTCGGGGCCATCATGGTGACATGACCTTCACGTGCACTCCCGTGGCCTCCCACTGACCTCCGAATGTCCAGTGATGGGGGTGGAGGCAGAGGAAGCCCCAGCCCAGGGGCCTGTGCACCACTTTCCAAGATCACGGGACTCGTGCATTTGAGATGAGCGACTTGGCCGGCGTGTGTGTGGACCTGCCTCCCGAGCACCCCGGTGGCAGCTGTGCCCAGTTGCGCCCCACTCTGTGCACAGGCACTATCCATCCCGGCACTGGTCCCTGCCCTCATCAGATGGCCTGCACCACGAGGGTGGATGCCTGCTGGTCTCCTGGTGCTCCCCGGCTGGGAGCTTGCTTGTCCTGCATCTGCTGCGATGCTGAAGAGCGCTCTGGGGCCAGGCTGCTGGGCCCTCCTCCAGGCTCCCTCCTTGCTAGCCACACTTGCGGCACGCACACGTGTCTGTCCTTCCTAGGCCTCAGTTTCTCACCTGTAAACGGGAACAATACGCAGCTCCCAGGTCAGAGGATGCTTGCCTGTAGGACTCCTTGGAAACATCACCTGCCTCCGGTCCCAGGGGCCAGGGTTTGTGAGAGCTCAGGAGGGGTGTAGAGAGCAAAGTCCAGAGGGCCAGGCACCCGTTGCTGTTGTGGGGTGACACTCCCACAGCCCTTGTGACCTGAGCTCCATGTGTCACTCACAGAGTCCCACTGAGACAGCCCAGGGGGCTTCCTGGAGGCAGTGTCCCGGGCAGCCCAAGCCCAAGCCCCGCTCGCTCACTCTTGGCAGCTGCAGCAAGGGAGCCTCCCTACCCCACCCCGGCCCTCCCGTGTGAGGGGGCCTCACTCCCTTCCTCGTGGACCTGAGGGACAAGCCCACAACACAGCAAAACCCTCCACAGGGTCCCTGCTTGTGTGCTGACCACAGGGTTCACCCTCCCTTTGAGCGCCCCCCACGCCCCAGCACGGCTGCACTGTCCCCCACACTCTCCTCGAGGTGGGCCGGCGGGGTGGACACACAGGGCAGTGCCCAGGACGAGGTGGAGGGGGCGCTGGAGATGGAGCCGGGCAGGAGGCAGCAGGACCCCTCCAGCTCCCCTCCCCTCAGGGGCACATACTCCCTGATCCCTGGAGATGCAGCCAGGGACCTCTGTGGGCCTCGAGGGCTCTGTTCTGGTGCCCGGATCACAGCCCAGCACCCCCACTTTCGGGGCCTCGAAGTCTGCCCGAGGGGTCAGGCTGGGCTCCCCCTCCTCCTCCTGCCCCTCACCCAGGGCTGGGAGTGTCCAGCCCAACATAGGGGTCCGGCAGGAGTTGGGGCTAACCCAAGAGGAGCCTGGGCTGGGGAGGAGCTGAGAGGCCAGAAGAGGGGGCAGGACCCTCCCGGCCAGGCCACACCTGGGAAGGGGCTCCTTGATAAAGCTTGAGGCCCACCCCTGGCCAGAGGCAATGCAGGCCAGGAACGCTGATGGAGTCCCCCAGGACCCTGCACGGGACACGGCCTCCCTCGCACGGGGACGCTACCAAGCTGTCCAGATGTTCAGTGAAAAGTCCCCATCAGGCTGTGCCACCGACCGGGCCAGCTGCAGTTGCAGAAATTCCTCGCCCTCACAGCCCCACTCGGACCCCAGCCCCCAAGCCATGCAGCTGTGCCCCAACTCCCAGGAGACCGGCACCTTCCCTGAGGCTGAAGCTTGCTCACAGTGCTCAGCTGATCCCAGACAGTCTCGGGCTGGCAGGGCTAGGGCAGGGTCAGGTGTGCAGGCCTGGCGTTTCCCCTCCCACAGGCTGCAGCCCTCCCAGCCCACCGCTGTCCTGTCTGCCTCCGTGGGCTTGCAGTGGAGGACAAGGTGGGCTGTGCTGGAGCCTCCCGGGGCTCCAGGACACCGGACCCGGGTCCCTCCAGTCAGTACGGCTCCTGCAAGGCTGCCCTACCCACATGCTTGGTGGGGAACAGTAGCCAGGTGGGGTGTGGCTCCGGGGGGGTTGCCTGCAAGGCGGCTGGTGCTTGCTGGGCATTTGGGTGTTCCAGGGACGGAGGATGAGTGGGACCCAGGAATCTGGCTGCTTGTGGCAGTGCCAGCTGCCCTGGGGGTGACATCTAAGCCCTGAGATGCCAACATTCGCGGGCACAGCCCCTGCCTCAGAGAGCTCCAGCCCTATGAGATGCCAACAGCCGTGGGCACGGCCCCTGCCTCAGAGAGCTCCAGCCCTACGAGATGCCAACAGCCGTGGGCACGGTCCCTGCCTGGGAGAGCTCCAGCCCTACGAGATGCCAACAGCCGCGGGCACGGCCCCTGCCTCGGAGAGCTCCAGCCCTATGCTTCTGGGGCGCATCCACAAGGGCCCCCACTCCTGCACACACCAGGCCCCCCCAGCGCAGTTCCTGTGCCCCCCTCAGGCTCAGCCAGGCCCCGCTGCAGCCCTCCCTCCCTCCCTCCCTCCCTGCCCCTCCATTCCAGCCCACGTGGGCTTTACTCCTGGGACCACCTGTTGTCAGCACTTGTCCCTGCCCTGTCTGTGGCCCCCCGGCCACTCCCCAGGCCCCACACAGGGTCTGCAGAGGCTCTGGGCTTTGCTGAGAGAAACGGTCACTGGCCTGAAACTCAAGGGGAATCACCAAGCTCGTCATCCCTCACGGAGCCTGGTGGGTGGGCGTCCACCAGAATTTCCACTGCAGGCACCCCCACCTCCAGGTCCGGCACAGCTGCTAACCCCCACCAACCCTGTCCCAAAGCCCAAAGAGCAAACAGCAAGGCTGCTTCCCCTCGGCACTATGGGGAGGACAGCAGAGGAGGACAGAGCACCTCACCCTGCGGGGATAGGGCCTCTGGGCCAAGGCTGCCAGGTGCACATAGCAAGCAGAATCTGAATGGGGCAGGCACAGCTCAGGGGCCCCGTCTACTCCCGGACACAGAGGAGGGATCTGCTGGGGTCCTTTCTGGGCTGCCCCTGCCCCCAGGAGGTTAAAGAGTCCCCCTTTCCCTCCTCTTCCTGCCCCCAACTGTCCAGCCAGCAACAAGGCCAGGCCACACGGTGATGGGGCAACGTCCCCTGGGCCCAGAAGCGGCCCCCACTGTGGCAGGGAGGCTGTGTGCTTCAGGATGGGGAGGGGGACATGAAAGGCTCCCTCTCAGGACGGGCCCTGCAGACCTCCCTGGTCCCCACGCTGGTAGGGTCTCTGCACTGCCCACGCGGCAGCACCCTTGGCCCGAGCACGCTGGGGCTCCCAGGAAGCGCATCGAACCGTGCAGCTTAGTGACCGGAGCAAGGTCGATGCAGCCACACCTGAGCGGGAATCTCGGCTCCCTGGGGTGAGTCACGCCACTGCCCCACGCCTCAGTTTCCCCTCTGTGACTCGGGGCATGGCAGGGTATCTCGGGACCGTGCTGAGGACTAAATGCGCTAAAATGCTCAGGGAGCTCCAGGCCCAGGTGGCACCTGGACACATCGGCTGCGGTTCATCCAGCCCTCTTCCTGTCCAGACGCCGGCCTCCTCCCCACACAGGAGGCCTCACTCCCAGCTCTCCCACCTCCCGAGGGCCACGGGCCCCTGAACGTAGAGATTCGATGTGGGGGGAACCTGTACCAGGCTCACGTCAGCCCCGCCCACACTTACCTGGCAAGGCAAAAAGGAAAGGGTGGGGAGATCGGGGCCGGCCAGTTACCTGCAGCCGGCCCAATGAGCACACAGTACCCATCCTCCTGGGTCGGGAGCGAGGCACAGGCGACGGGCAGCCGGCCCCCGCCCAGGCGGCTCCAACACGCATCCTGCAGGGCCTCGCAGAACTGGCAGCAGGGTGGCGGGGCGGGCGGCGGGACGCTGCCGCATGGGGGGACCAGCAGCAGGCAGAAGAACCAGGCGAGGAAGGGGTGGCAGTGCGTCTGCAGCAGGCCCCCCCACGCCCGTGCCCCGGCCCGCACCTGCTCGCCGCTCTCGTGGTGGAGGTGGTTGGGCAGCCAGAAGCGTGAGATGCCCAGGTGGCCGCAGACTGGCAGGGAGGGTGGCAGGGGCAGGCAGCGACCGGCGGGGGCCTCGGGGTCAGCCCCGAGCAGGGCAGAGTTATTAGCAAGACCCGGCCCCACAGAGTTAGCCACGTGGGAGACCCAAGCACCGCTGTCCCTGGTTAAAGTGGTGACTGCGACCTGAGACAGTGCGCCCGGGAGCCCAGAGGAGAAGGCGGAGGGGGCCGCGTGCTTGCCCAGGGAGCCCATCACCAGGGGGTGCAGAAGTGGCGTGCGCAGGCGGACGTCAGGGCGTTGGAGCTGCTGGCTGGGAGCGGCTGCGGCGGGCGAGAGTCCTTGGCTGTCTGGGTCCTGCAGGCTTCCCCAGGGAGGGGCCCCGCCCAGCAAGGAGGAGAGAGAAGCTCTACCTGAAGATGGTGGTGGCACTGAGGGCCCCGTGAGTGGTGCCCAGGGCCTGCCCAGGGAGGGAGGCGATGGGGTGGGTGCAGGCAAGGTGCCAGCCTCGGTTGTGTGGGCGCCCGGAGAGCTAGGAATGCCACGGCTGGGCCAGAGAGTGGTCCCATTCTCCTGGGGGGTGCTGGAAGGCCCAGCGAGGGCAAGGGGGCCCACAGGAGTCTCCAGGACCAGGGTTTCCGCCCTGGCCAAGCTCTCAGTGGGGACAGTGTCATTCCACAGCTGGACGAAGCTCCGGATGCCTTTGGCCACGTTCAGGATCTCGGCTCCGACACCGGCAATGTTCTCCTCTGGCGCGTCCGGGCTCTCGGCAGAAGTGGGGGTGTCCTGGCCATCTTCCAGCAGCTCTGAGGGTGGCTCAGGGCTGCCAGGGGCTGTCGCTGGCTCTGTGGAACCATTCCGGGGGGTCACGTGTGTGGTGGTATCTGCTGTGGGCTGCACAGGCAGGGGCCCCTGGGGCTCAGGGATCGTGGTAGCTGCATGGCTGGTGTCCTCATTATTGAACCAAAGCCAGTTCAGGTTCAGCAGGTTGGCCCGGGCAGCCGCCAGGCAGCAGAAGAGCAGCAGCAGGATGTGGCAGCCACAGGGGTAGGGAGCCATCGGGGCAGTGCGGCTGGAGCTGCGGGCGGCGGGAGGGCCTCTGTGCCTGGAGGTGGGGCTAGCCAGGCTCACGCCCTCCTGCCCTCCCCTGTGCAGGCTTCCCAGCCTCTGGCCGGCTGTCTTCCACCCCCCACTCTTGCAGAAGGAAAGAAGGCACCAGCCTTGGAATCAAGGTGCCCAGCACCCGGGGGTTCCAGCACCCAAGGATTTATAACTTCTTTCCCACGGCCCTGCAGCAGCCCCAGGCTCCGTGAGGACAGAGGGTGCTGTGTGCAGTGTCCACAGGGTTCCCAACGTGCTCCGCTAGGCTCTGCCGGGGCAGGGCTGCTGAGTCTCTGGATTGGGGCTCCAAGCCAGGACCCCATCCCAGAAGCACTGAGGCAGCGGCCCCCAGCCCCTGCTCCCCCTCTGACCTGGAACGCCCAGAGGCGCCTGGCCTGGAGCCATTGTGTTGTGGGAAACTTGGAACCGAAAAAATGCTCAGCTTGCTGCAGTGCCAATTCCACTGTTGCAATGGCTGCCCAAGTCGTTAAACATCCCGGGGAGGGTCTCGAGGGGCTCAGACCCTCTCAGAGCTGCTGTGCCTCCCCTCAAAGCTGGGGCTTTACCTGCCTTGGACTGTGTCCCTCTCAGCCCTTCCTGACCTTCTGCCCAGGAGACCCAGCAGAGACGGAGCCCGGGACCAGGGCAGGAATGCATACTCCTTCCCGGCCTCAGTCTCCCCGTCCACAAAAGGATCCGGTTAGACTGGAACATTCCAGGCAGCCGGTAACCCACAGGGATGTGAGTGGCATGTGAGTGGCTGCTGTGCCCCCCCGCCAGCTGCCCAGGCACAGCAGTGGGTGCTGAGTGTGCCTTATGCCCTCTGAGGACCTGTGTGCAGCCTGGCCATCGGCCCATTTCACAGATGAAGAAAACTGAGGCATGAGCCTGGTGACCCCGCTCAAGATCACGGAGCCCATCAGAGGTGGAGCCAGGCAGTTTACACAGGCGTGCTCACTCACACACACGTTCACACATGTGCATCCTCACACGCACACACCCAGGTTTCACCCCACAATCCACCCACCCCCTCAGTGCTCTGCACGCCAGCTCCCCCAGCTGGAGTCCCTCGTCACCCTGCCTCCTCCAGGCTGTGCGGCTGGGGTTGCAGCCACCCTCCCCCAGGGCTGGGGTCAGTTAATGTGACAGCAGCTGTGACGAAACAGCCCCACAACCTGTCCCCAGCTGTCCCCAGGTCAGGACATGCTGTAGCCATCGGTCGATTGCTGTCCACAGGGCAGGGCTGGGCTGCTTGGGACCCAGCCTTGTTTCAAGCAGCTGAGTGCCACCTCCTTCTCGAGGGCAGGCGCAGGCATTCCACAAGCAAACATCTGCATGTCAGTGAGGCCGTGCTCCCAAAACGAATCCCCACACTGCTCAAACTCGTCTCAGAGATGCCCAGAGAAGTCTCTTTGCTTGAAAACTGACTGCTGCTGCTGTGATTTTATGTCTGAACACGCCTCCGGAAAGTCTCCAAACAGAAATTCCAGAGACTGCCCCCTCCTCCACCAGCGCATCTCAGGAAGGGAACTCTGTTGTGGGGGACACCCCCAGCCCCATCCCGAAGGCTCTGTGCTCAGAGGGTCACTGGCCAGCTGGGCTGGCCCTACATTCATGCCCCCCAATATACACCTCCTGGGCAGAGCCAGGCACAAGGAACTGATTACGCCTAGCAATGGAGGGAGAGCAGCTCCGGCCCTCGGGGCCACACTTGGAGGATGGTGGCAGCCCCATGGCACTGAGCACCCACCCTGCCATCTGCAGGGTGCCCAGCTCCCTCCACCCTTCCCCTGCCCACTCCATTCCTGACCCCACCCTTCCTGCCCACTGTCCAGGACTCCTCCACCTCTAAGTGCTTTGAGAGCTTCCTGTCCACCATTGGGGTTCCCTCACCTCCAAGCACCTCCACAGCATCGCACGTTTAACCTCCTGGAAATCCTAGTGCGGCTCTGCCACGGCTCCACAGCTCAGCCCCCGGGATCTGGTTCCCACCAGGAAGCACCTGGCAAGGGTGGCTACTACATAAGCCTCCTCACATCATCACTCAAACGCACGCATGTGTACGCACATGCTCACACACGAACACCCACATATGCACACATATATGTATGCTCACTCCTGCTCATGCATGAACACATGCACATGCATGCTTAGCTATGCCATATATGTCACATGTGAATACTCACATACACAAGCCCCCACACATGTACATATAAGCGTACGTGCCAGACATGAATGCTCATATGCATACACAAGCACACACATGTACATACATGCTCACATGTCACACATGAATACATGCATACACAATCACACACACATACATGCTCACACATGTCACATGTGAATACTCGCATACACAAGCCCACACACATACATAATGCTTACATGTCATACATGAATGCTCACATGCATACACAAGCTCACACATGTACATACATGCTTACATGTCACACATGAATACTCGCAATCACACACATACATATAGGCTCACATGTCACATGTGAATACTCATGCATACACAAGGTCACACATGTACATACATGCTCACATGTCACATGTGAATACTCACACACATGTACATACATGCTCACATGTCACATGTGAATACTCACATGCATACACAAGCCCCACACATACATACATGTTTACACATGTCATACATGCTCACATGCATACACAATCACATATGTACATGCATGCTCACACGTCAGTGAATACTCACATGCATACACAATCACACGTACATATATGCTCACACGTCACATGTGAATATTCATGCATACACAAACTCACATACATGCTCACACATGTCACACATGAATACATGCATACACAAGCTCACACACACATGCTTACATGTCAGATACAAATGCTCACATGCATACACAAGCCCCCACATGTACATACATGCTTACATGTGTCACATGAATGCTCACATGCATACACAATCACATATGTACATGCATGCTCACACGTCACGTGAATACACACATGCATACAGAAACACACACGTACATATATGCTCACATGTCACACGTGAGTACTCACATGCATACACAAGCTCACATATATACACACACGTCACACATGAATACATGCATACACAAGCTCACATACATGCTTACACATGTCACAGAGTGCATATGCATGCTCAGCTCTGCCATGCATGCTCACACACACACGCACACAGGCAAGCACACTCACCATGTACTTGCACTCTCAGAAAGCACCCTGGTGTTGCCCAAGTCCTGCTAGCAGCATGGCCAGGGATCCAGGCCTCCTTCCCAGCCCCTGCCCAGCTCTGTGTAAAGGGCCCGACTGTGGCTCGTTCCAGGATCTGGGTGCCCAGATGGCACCATGAGCAGTGCGGACCAGGGTTTCGGCATGGCCTCTTCCCCTTGGTGGAGGGAGCAGAGAAGCTGAGGCACAAGGAGCAGCAGTTGGCAGTTTCCCTGCGGCTCCTCGGTGCCTCCTGGGGTGAGTGCGGCCTCAGGCCTGCCAGAGACAGAGGACACACGTGTCGTCATGAGGGACCTTGGGGTCTGCAGGAAGGCAGGAACCACTTGGCTCTGATGGGGCGGCTGGGAGGCCCATGATGGAGCTCACTGGAGATGACCCCAGCCAAGGAGGAAGAGGGCCCATGGATCCCGATGGAGCAGAGTTGACAGGACAGGTGAGACCCCTCCCTGGGGGTGCGCAGGACCTGGGTGACACAGGAGAGTGCCCCAGTCTGAAGTGCCCCCACCCTATTGCCTTGAGGCCTGAGATCGACCTTCCCAGTCTGACTTCATAGAGGAAGCAGCCTTCAAATCCCACCGCCTTCCCCTCTGAGCGCTCCTGCTGCTGAGTGCAGAACGTGGCGTCCTCATTCGACTCAACAAAGGCAACGTTAACCACAAACTCCCTCAGCAAACCCCACGCAGACAAGTGCATCATCCCTGTGAAGGCCAGCGAGGAGCTGGGGAAGAGCATGGCTCGCCAACCCCGTGGGATCCCGGAAAGGCGGCACCCCACAACACAGCCACCCAGCTGTGTCCCCAGGGCCCCAGAGCCTGTGGGGCCCCTTTCTCTGGCTCTCAGTTATGACAACAGGAGGGCCAAGGGGCTCCCTTCCTGGAAGCCAAGCTGACCCAGCTGCTGGGTTGCACATCATCACAGCCTGTCCCAGTGCGTGTGGAGTTTGACCTTGGGTTGACTCCCTGCTCTATCCCTGATGAGAAAATGGGTCTCCTCTGTTGCTAGGCTACAGTGCTGTGGTACCATGGCCCCCGCTGGCCGGCCATCTGGCCAGGGCACTAGAAATGCCCGTTGGAAGCTGTAGCCATGGGCTACCCGCACGCAGCCACTCTTGTTATCATGACCTGCCCGCTCCTGAGGAGCCTGAGGCTAACAGCTCAGAACCTCACACCCCCCAGAGGACCTGCTGTCCCCCACTGGTGCCGTCCTGCAGAGTCGGGCCCTGTCTCCAGAGGTGATGGCACCGCCGGAGCAGCCACGAGGGCCCTGGAGCCTAAGCGTCCACCTGGCCTTGGTGGACCCGGGGGTGCTGTCCCACCATGGAGTGTGTGTCCTCCCTCAGCCTCTGGTGTCCGCACAGCCATCGAGGGCTCACCACTGCCACGCCAGCCACGGGCTCCAAACGTTGAAGCAGCTGGCTGTGGGGTGCAGGGTGGGCACACCGGGAGGGAGGCCTGAGATGCGGTGGGGAGGTCACATGCACTGGCTGCAGTTTCAGAGGACGAGGGAGACCACCCACCATGAACACAGGTGCCAAGAACTGAGCCTCCCCACTCCCTGCACCCCATCTGGTCTTCGGGAAGGTTCCACCCTCCCACTGTCTCCGCCCTGCCCCGAGCCAGGGTTTGTCCTGTCTTGTTGGCCTGTCTGGTTTAAATTCCTAAATAGTGTGGTCTTTTATTTTCTTTTTTTAAAAAGGTACAAACATCCACACGTGAACAGGGGAAACTGGTTCATCAGGGGGCAAAGAGGGGGGCTCATTTCCGGGCTGAAGGCCCCAACCGTAGCTTTGAGGCTCCGGGCTGTTCAATCGTCAGAGGCGTCCCTCCTGCTTCTGGCCACCCTAGGCCTCAGCCCGTGGCGGGTGGCTCTGGGCTGCCTCTCCGCGGGTCTCCCACACCTCGACCCTGAAGGCTGGGGGAGGATGACAGGGATGAGGGAGCAGGGCAGACCCCACCTGAGCCACCCTCTTCATTCCCTGAGCTTGTCCTTGCCCCCAGATGCTCGCCCGAGCCCAGAATGTCCTGCAGAGACCCCTCAGGTGTGGCCTCCCTCCCCTCCTTCCCCAGGGACCAGAGACTGTCCAAGGACAGGCCCAGGCAGGCTCCTGGAGATTCCAGGGAGCGAAACCTGGGCCCTGAGGTCCCAGTACCCACTGCCCATGGGCACGCCCCCAGGCAGGCACAGCCAGTCAAGGTTTGGATGCCGCAGACACGTCTCCAGCCCTTTTGAAATGAAAACATGACTTTTCATCTTTCTGTGGCGCAACTAGTTTATGATTGTCTGAAGTCTCTGAACGTGCTTCCTGGGCTCTGCATTTTGTGGCTACTTTTTCAAACCACGATGATAAAGGCAGCTTTATCATGGCACTTCCAGAGTGCCCCCTGACATCTCTGCTGCTTGGCCGGGACCTCTCACCAGACCTGGCCACCGGGCACAACCCGGCCAGCGGCATGACCAGCTGCCGCCACCTGCAGATTCAGTGGCTGGAGGTGGCCGCACAGTGAGAGGGCCGGGTGGCCAGGCCTGGGTCCAGGTCCCTGGAGGGCACTCCCCTGTCACCAAACACATGGACCTGAAGACCTACGGTAGCAGAGGGAGTGTGGCCACACCCTGTCTAACACCCACCCCCAGCTTACAGCCTCTTTCCCCCGCTGCTCAGTGCTCAGGGTGCCCCATAAGCCCATTCTCTCCCCCACGGTGGGGGCAGGGTGGAGGCTTCTGTCCCCCGATTCCACGACGAGGCTTCTCTTAGCTCTTCCCTGGATGTACATTCCTGGACTCAGCCGTGTCCCTCCCCAGGCTCTGGTGTCCCTCTGACCGCTCGGCAGAGCCTGGGGACTATGAGGTGGGGAGCCTGAGGTCTTCAACCCCAATCCTCCACTGGGTGATCACGAGTGGTGGGAGCCTTCTTGGCTCCTAAATTAATGCCAAGCACAGCCTGGCGCTCAGCGGGCAGCCTGCCTCTTCTCCCCGCACCTGGCCGGCGGCAGCTGGAAGCCCATGTGAGCCAGGCCCTCCCCTCGGGCTTGGTGCAACCTCCACCGCAGCCCCAGGGCCCACCCTTGGGAAGGCCGCCAGAGACACAGGAGATGGATCACTGGTGAAGGGTCATGAGCCGGGCAGCGGGGCCTGAGGCAGGAGCAGCAAGAGGATCAAAGCGCCGCAGGGAAAAGACACTTTAGACATCTTCCCAGGGACAGCTGCCACCTCTGCCCCTGACAGGAGGCCACGGGGAGGACACACAGTCCCCTGCCATGGCTCTCCACAAAGCCTGCACCTAAACACGAGCAGGCAGGTGGGTGAGTCCAGGCTGCGGGTCAGACACCCCCATAGAAACCCAGCTGGACTGCCACGTTAGGAAGAAGGCGGTGGGGCAGCGGGGGCGGGCAGGGCTGCTCCAGAGTCAACAGACTACAGAGCAGGACACTAATGCAACACGTGGTCCCTGACGGCTCTGGGACTGCCCAAAAGATACGCAGGCCAGTGGGGCAAAGGACATTATGGAGCGCATCTGAAGACGACCTGTTCACAGGAGGACGGACAGAATGATTGTAAACTTCTCAGGCGTGACAATGACACTGTGGCTCTGTGGGAGAATGTCCTTGTTCTTGGGACACGCACACAGAAGTGCATCTACAGGGCAATGTGTGGAGATGCTGCGGCTCACCTCAGCGAGCGTCTGTACTTGCATGTGGGTATGCAGAAGCACACGTGTGCGCGTGTACACGGATGTGTGGATATGGATACATGCATGCATGGATATCTGTGTGTGTGGACTGCATGTGGATTATGTGTGCATACAGATGAGCATGTGTGAATGTGTGCATGGGTATGTACATGTGCACACATGGATATGCATCACGGATGTGTGCGGATATGTACGCATGTGGAGGTGCATGTAGATATTCTTGTGTGCACACGCATGGATACCTGTGCATGTGGATATGCGTGTGTGTGGATATGGACACAGATGGAGAGAAAGGGAGTGCCTGGGAAAAATGTGGCAAGTGTTTGCTTGTGAGTCGAATGGAAGGTGTGTATGAGCGTTTTCTGATCATCGTATCAACGTCAATGCAGGTTTGAAATGTTCTCAAAGGATGTTTGTAGAGAAAATAGAGGTTTCTTCCTGATGTCTTCTGGCAAACTCCCTATGCCAGCTCTACCTCTGGCAGTCCAGGTGACTCAGCAGAGGGTGGGAAGAAATGCTTTTCAGACCTCGATCCATGTCCCCTGGGGCTCTGTGTGGGTGTTATTCCTGCATGCCTTCAAAGCCTTGTTACTCCTTCCAGTCCGAGGAGGCTGGCAGAAGACGCTGCCTCTGTCTTCTCCTGAATGCTGCTGCAAGGGGGGCCAATGGGTGGAGCACAGCAGGGCAGCGAGGCTCACCGACATCTCCTGCTTGATGTGATAAAGTTCACTGAGGGCGAACCAAAAGACCTCAATGTGCTCTATAGGCTCTAAGGGAACCATCCATGCTCTACCCAAAACAAAGCAGATATTTTCAAAGACTCTAAGAAGTTCGAGAGCCAAGAGGTCCCCCGATTTTGTTCTTCTCCAGGATTGCTTTGGCCATTCTGGGTTCCTTGAAATTCAATTTAAGTATTGGGGTCACTTTGACAATTTCTATAGCCAGTGGGGATTCTGGCAGGAGTTGTGTGGACTCTAGTTGATTTAGGGAGTATTCTGTCTTCCAATCCATAAACATGGGATAACTTTCCATTTATTTAGATCTTCCTTAATTACTTTCAATGTTGCTTTGTAGTTTTCAGAGTATAAGTTCTTGTTGATGCTGTTGTAAACAGATTTTTCTTTCTTAATTTCATTTTTGGATTGTTCATTGCAAAATAAATACAATAGATTTTTCTATACTGATTTTATACCCTGCAACCTTGTTGAGCTCATTTATTGGTTCTAATAGTTTTTTTGTGGATTACTTAGAAAAAACTGTAATTTTAGAGGAACAATAAAAAACTTTTTAGAGGTTAGAACTTTTACTTTTAAATATACATATGATATATGATATATATGATATATGATATATATATATATAAGATCTGGCCTCTAAAAATACAGTTTTACTTGTTCCTTTCCAATCTGGATGTCTTTTATTTCTTCTTGCCTAACTTTCGTGGCTAGAACCTCCAGTACAATGTTAAACAGAAGGCGCAATAGGGAACGTCCTTGTCTTGCTCCTGATCTTAGGAGGAAAGCATTCGCTCCTCCACCACAAGCACGGTGTCAGCTGTGGGCTCTGTCACAGATGCTCTTTACCAGCTTGTTAAGTGTTTTTCATGAATGGTGTTGAATTTTGTCCAATACTTTCTCTGCATCTATTGAGATGATTGGGTGTTTTTAATATTTTATTCTATTGATATGATGTATTACATTGATTTTCAAGTGTTAAACCAACCTTGAATTCCTGGGATAAATCCCACTTAGCCATGGTGAATTTTTTTTATATGTTGCTGGATTTTATTTACTAGTAGTCTACCAAGGATTTCTGTGTCCATAATTCGTAAGATAAACTAGTCTGCAATTTTCTTTTTTTGGCAATGTCTTTGTCTGATTATGGTATCAGAGTAATATTGGTCTCATAAAATGAATTGAGAAGCATTTCCCACTCTCCTAGTCTTTTGAAAGAGTTTGTGAGAATTGGTTTTAATTCTTTAAATGCTTGGTAGAATTTAGCTGGGAAGCTCTCTGGTCCTTGGCTTTTCTTTATGGGTGTTTTTGGATTACTAATTCAACCTCTTCACTTGTTATATATCTATTCACATTGTCTATTTCTTGTTGAATCAGTTTGAGTAGTTTGCACCTTTCTAGGAAATTTTCAATTTCATCTGCCATCTATTTTGTTCATAGTATTGGATTAGAAAAAAGTCAAAGGACTTACATTCCCAGTTTTAAGACTTACAATGCGATGGTAACAGGACAGTGTGGGAGTGGCGCAAGGACAGACACACGCATCGGTGCAGTGGAACTGAGGGTTCTGGAATAAACTCATAACCTACGGGCAACTCATGTTTGACAAGAATGTCGAGACTGTTCAGTGAGGAAAGAGCAGCCTTCAACAAACGGTGCTGGGCCAACGAACAGATACACGCAAAAGGGCGAAGCTGGATCCCTACTTCACACCACATGCAGCTATTAAAATTTTTATTTTAGCTCTTAAATAAAAGAGCTAAAATAAAAAAACTTTTGAAGGTTTTCTTTTTCATAACCTTGGATTTGGCAAAAGATTCTTACATATGACAGCAAAAGCCCAAGTGACAAAAGAAAAATAAATTGGACTTCGTAAAAACTTAAAAGTTTTGTGCCTCAAAGGACACCATCAAGAAAGTGAAATGACATCTCACAGAATGGGAGAAGATATTTGCGAATCATATATGTGAGGAAGCACTTCTATCTAGATGATGTAAAGAACTCATAAATCAACAACAAAAAGACAATAATCCAACTAAAAGTGGGCAAGAATCGGAATAGACATTTCTCCAAAGAAGAAATACAGATCGCCAAGAAAGACAAAAAAAGATGTTCAACATTATCAGTCATCATGAAAATGCAAATGAAAACCACAAGACACTGCTTTACACCCAACATGGGCTGGAAACAAAAAGTCAGAGAAAAACAAGTGATGGCAAAGATGTGGCGAAATCAGAACTCCCAAGGCTGCAGGAAGGGACGTGAGATGGTGCAGACACTTGGGAAAGCAGGCTGGCGGCTGCTCAAATGAGTAAACACAGTTACCATAGTCCCAGTGATTCCACCTTAGGTATATACCCGAGAGAAACGAAGACACACGTCCACACTGAAACTTGTACACAAGTGTTCACAACAGCACCGTTCATCACAGCTAAAAGGTGGACACCGCTCAGAAGTCCACCAAATGCTGAATCCATAAGCACAGCATGGTGCCTCCACCTGGTGGGACATTATTCAGTGACAGCAAGGAATGAAGCCCTGGGACAGGGTGCAACACGGACGAACCCGGAAACCACAGGCCGAGGGGAAGAAGCCAGACAGAAACGACCACACGTTCCATGGTTTAATTCGTATGGAAGCTCAGAAGACGGAACCCAGGGACAGAAAGGAGATGACCGGTGGCCAGGACTGGAGGGAGGGAGGGCGGCGGAAAGGCTTCTCTCTGGAGTGATGAAATGTTCCACGGTCGATGGGGATGATGGTGGCATAGATTTTTGAATATACTGAAAACCACTGGATTGTACACTTCGAGTGAATTGCACGGAATGTGAATTACATCTCAATAAAGCCATTCAAAACAATCAAGGGAGACCCACATCACATTTTCCAAACCACGCAATCCTTAATGCTGCTTGATTTCTTATTAATTCCATTTTGAGTGAGATTGATTTTTTTCATGTATTTGATGAAAGTTTTTCTCTTATAAATTCCTGTGCTTTCAAACTCATTTTTAGAGGGGCTATATCAACTTTTAAAAACTAGGGTATGGACACGGAGTCATCTTTGCTGCTAATGTTGGTTTTCAAACCTAGTACCAGCATGTTCGAGGAGCACGTGGCTTCCTCCTAACACGTGGAGTAGTGTTTCCTCCCTGGCTCACAGCCTCCACTCCCCGGAGCCTCTCTCGCCCTGCACGACCCAGGCTCTCAGAGCTGCTCTCGTGCTGGCCCCCGGTGCTCGCAGCTGGCATTTATCGAGGGCTCCTCTGTCCACAGCACTGTGGAACCACCCTCCATGCACGAGTGAGCGTGCACCTCACAACTATCCTGGCATGTGCATTTTACAGCCAGAAAACCAAAAGTCCGGACGACCAGCTGACCCCAGCCCTACGCCTCACCACAACCCCGCACATCACCCACACGAGCACAACGTCCTTCATTCACTCTGCACATCCCACACCTCACTACACCCCTGCACGCACCTCACTACACCCCTGCACGCCACCTACTCGGGCACACGGCCCTTCATTCACTCCACACGCACACCCGTGCTCCTGCTGCAAGCCCAGCCTGCTCGCAGCACTGAAGATGCGCTGGAGAACAAAACCTGGCACAAAGTGAACTTAGAGGTGATTTCGGGAGGCAGGAGGTACCATGGAGCGAATGTGTCACATGGGAAAGGGTAGAGGACGCCACGGGACGACCACGCCAGGCCAGGATGTGCAACGGGGAAGGGGCCGAACAGAAGACAAGAGAGAGCGACAGCGTGGCAGCCGGGAAGCACGTTCCCCACAGAGGGACACTGAATTCTTGCGTGGCAACATGGCCCCCCAGTGGTAGGGCCAGACACCTACTCGCCCTGTGACATCCTGGCCACCCAAAAGAGGACAGGCAGTCCTGGCTGCCACTGGGAGGACGGTCCCCTTCCTAGGAGTCTGGAGGGCCACCAGATGTCCAGTGTCCCTCGGACGCATCTAGGGGATCATGCAGCAGGCATCTCTCCTTAGTGCTGCAGCTCAGCTATTCCTCTCCACCAGCAGAGCCGCGTAAAGGGGCACGGGGCCGCATTGCTCTCATAAAGACTCTTCACCAGGAAATTGGCACTTGATTTGTGTTTTCACGGAGGCCTCCCTGGGGACCCGGCTGCAGCCCGGGATGTGACAGACAGGTACAGGACCACCCAGAGGCTTCACTTTTCGCCCACGTGGGAGAAAAAGGGCCGCCTGTCGGAGAACAGTTCAGCACAGTCCACACCCCGGGACCTCCTAGGTCCCGAGAGACCACAGTGCAAGGAGGGAGCCCTTGGCCGAGGCTCCTAGCTCTGGGTGGCCAGTGGCAAAGCATCTCCACCACCGGGACTCTGCTGCGATGCCGAGCTGGGCTGTGAGGGCCAAGGAGGAAAGGCACGGGCGGCCTTTCAAGCTGGTGAAGGCCCACTTGGTTTTCAAGGGTTTACCAGGTTGCTCCTTAACTGGGTTTTCTCATGGAAGGCCCCAGGGCAGGCTCACACAGCCAGGTTCCCATGGGGCTGCCAGACCTACCCAGACCCCAGCTGTGACAGCCACACTTGTGCCGGTTGGGGCCATGGGGTAAGCACCTCCCAGGCACCAGGACCTGTGCTGGATGCAAGACCCAGCTGTCCTCCAGGAATCCACCCACACCAGCACCGCCGCCCACACCAGCACCGCCGCCCACACCAGCACCGCCGCCCACACCAGCACCGCCGCCCACATCAGCACCACCACCACCCACACCAGCACCACCACCGCCCACACCAGCACCGCCGCCCACATCAGCACCACCACCACCCACATCAGCACCGCCGCCCACACCAGCACCGCCACCCACACCAGCACCACCACCCACATCAGCACCGCTGCCCACACCAGCACCACCACCGCCCACACCAGCACCACCACCCACATCAGCACCGCTGCCCACACCAGCACCACCACCGCCCACACCAGGACCTCCGCCCACACCAGGACCGCCGCCCACACCAGGACCTCCGCCCACACCAGCACCACCACCGCCCACACCAGGACCGCCGCCCACACCAGCACCGCTGCCCACACCAGCCCCGCTGCCCACACCAGGACCGCCGCCCACACCAGGACCTCCGCCCACACCAGCACCACCACCGCCCACACCAGGACCGCCGCCCACACCAGCACCGCTGCCCACACCAGCCCCGCTGCCCACACCAGGACCGCCGCCCACACCAGCACCACCGCCCACACCAGGACTGCCACTCTTGGGCCTGGGCGTGCTCATCCGAAGGGGTCCGGCCCTGCTACTACCCGGCGACAGAGACTACGATGTCCAGGAGTGGAGGAAGTGGAGGCAGAGGCTGACAGGGCAGCGCCTGCCCAGCTGACAGAGGTGAGGGTGGGCTCAGGGGCAGGGACACCCATGGTGAGTGAGACACATGGGTGATGTGCAGCCAGAGAGTGAGGGGCCCTCCCCACAGACACGACGTGTGCCTCTGTGGCTTCACGGTTTTCATCATGCTCTGCAGTTACAAAAATAAAACTCACAGGTGGGATTTAAAGGAGAAAAAGCAAGGCACGGGCACAGAACGGGCAGGGTTTCCTCACGTGCACCCTGTGCACCGGTGGTATCCAGTCATGGCCAGTGTCCAGGCTCAAGGCTGTGGCCCCACAGCAGCTACGGTGGGCAACAGGGCAGCGCCACCCACTCAAGGGCACAGCCGAGCTGCAGGACTGTGCAGTCAGGGCAAATGGGCCTCCCCGCAGGACTGCGTGGATGAGGGCGAGGTGACCTCCCCTGGGCTGAACCCCACACAGTGACTGTGAGAAGCACACAAGATGCACAGTCCTCTCCCTGGAGTGAGGGTCCCAGGGGGTCACCAGGCCTGTGCTTTGGCAGGGAGACCCCGAGACCCCATGGACCCTGTGCTGAGGGCGGCCTCCCGTGGCCTTGGGAGTGGCATGGGGAGTCCCTCCTTTATGGAGAGAGCCGTGTTCCCAGCAGCGTGCTCCATCCTTTAAGGACATGGGACATTTTCTGCTGGAAATAGTTGCATATCAGAGGTGGGCGTCTGAGGGGGACAGGTGAGAGCTGACCCGGCGCCATGCCATAAGCTGGCCCTGCTCAGAGGAGACCTGTTGGCGTGAAGAGCCAGCGGCAGAACATGGGAAGCTCACGGCCGTGTTCTGTAGAAGGCGCCGGCTGGTGAAGCAGAGATGGCAGATCACGGAGAGGAGCAGGGGGAACATGAACAGCCCGGGACGGGAACCATGGCCAGAGCCACCGGGCAGCAGGACTGGAGGACCCGGTGGGGGCACCTCCAGGCCAGGAGCTGGCAGCCCTCGAGGTGGGTTCAAGCGTCCCGAGGCCTGGAGGCAGCTGCTGGGGCAGGTGGGGCACCTGGGATGGGCATGTGGGGGTTTTATGATTTAACACAGGAAAACTCTACCTGGGCATCTGTGCTGTCCCTCATCTTCTGGGGACAGTAGGGGCAGCGTCTTGCCCCATTGCTTCCCCCTCTCCCAGTACAGAACCAAAATAAGACCTCGATGAACCCTGAAGGGCAGCAGGTGGAGGAGCGTGTGCCAGAAGTAGAGGTGAGGGACCAGGGCCACGCAGGAGCAGCCTCTGTGTGTAGGGGAGCTGTGGTGTCCAGAACCTGCAAGACCCCAGGTCTGGGCAGCTGCAGCAGATTCCGCCCATAGTGGGGAGATGGGAAAGTCTGTTGTAATTCCCAGGGCCATGTGAGGCGGTGGGCAGAGCTTGGAGCGGAAAGGCGGGTGTCCCCGGGGTTTGCATCCCGGGGGCAAGCAGTGAGGTCTCCATCAGCCTCGGCACAGCGAGAGAACTGCTGAGCCTCCTATGAGTGAGCGTCCCGTGGTTCCCACGCACGATAACGTCCTAGAAGTGCTGATCTTGCCCCCAGGTTCCAGCCCTGCTCCCAAGTTCAGATCACCCAGGGTGCTGGGAAACCTCACCCTGCCTGGGCCCATGGCCAGGGGCCAGTTCCTAGCTCCAGGTCTGGGGCGGAGTCCGGCATCGACATTTCCAAAAAGCTTAGACACGATCCCCACGTGCAGCCAGGGTGTGACATAAACCCCCGCAGGCCCTGACTGCTTCCGGGGAACGTGGTTCAAACCCCAGCAGGCCCCGACTGCTTCCGGGGAACGTGGCTCAAACCCCAGCAGGCCCCAGCTGCTTCCGGGGAACGTGGCTCAAACCCCAGCAGGCCCCGACTGCTTCCGGGGAACGTGGCTCAAACCCCAGCAGGCCCCGACTGCTTCCGGGGAACGTGGCTCAAACCCCAGCAGGCCCCGACTGCTTCCGGGGAACGTGGCTCAAACCCCAGCAGGCCCCGACTGCTTGCGGGGAACATGGCACGGAGGCCCAGGACCTGGAGCCAGGGGTCAGCCCTGGGCAGGGCCTGAGGAGCCCACCCAGCAACTCCCAGTGGACCCCTGGCAGGCCTGAAGCACCCGCTTTCCTCACAGACAGCAAGGGGCAGCTCTGGACCCTCTCCGTGGGTGGGCAAGAAGCTAAGGGGCTGTGAGAGCCCAGGGAGGCCTCTGCTTCTGAATCTTGCAGAGCTTGGAGAACGCAGCAAATTCCAGCGGGAGCCTGTGTGCACAGGTGAGGAAGCTGAGCTGGTGCGGAGCAGTCACACAGCCACAGCCACAGCCGACGTTCCGACCCCGCAGCCCTTGCCCTTACATCCCCGAGCGTCGGGGGCTAGGCCGGAGACGTTTGCCCCATCATCGGAGGACCGGCCCCTCCGCCCATGCGGCCCACGGCCTGCCAGCCTCCGCTGGCGCTTTCTGGGTGCTGGCCCCACAGAAGGGGTGGGAGGTGCGGAGTCGGGGCACCAGCGCGCAGCCCGAGATTTCCCAGTTTGCTTTCGCTCAGGAAGTCATCAGACAAACACTCCCATCTCCCAGGCCTAGTTCCCACTCCTTGCTACATTCACAGCCGGAGACTGTAATGGACTTCACAGGCTCGCACTGAGCACTCAGGGGCGCAGAGAGCGGCATTTCCCGAGCATCTTAGAGGCCAGGCTCTGTGCTTGGCGCCAGGACGAGCTGCACTTCCAAATCCAAACCCTGCTTGCTGCACGCGCCCAAAGCCGCCCAGGCTGGCAGCAGCTCCGGGCAAAACACGCTCTGAACACGGCCGCAGCTCGCAGACCCGGAGGCCCCGCGCACAGGACTTGGCCCAGGACGTCTGGAGCCCGCGCGACGCGCTTCCGTCAAGCCAGGGACCGGCCGCCAGGGGGAGCCAGAGGCCCAGGCATTTCTCAGCAGGCACCGAAGTCCCAATGGCAACTTTCACCAATAAGTTCACTTTGCTCTTGGTTTCGTCGGACGTTTTTATGATGAACGTAACGCACACGTTGCGATACGTAAAGGCCTAGAAAGTAAAAGGTCATGACCTCTCTGCCCACCAGCCCGTGACCGGCGGGCGCCCGGCATCCACACGGCCTCTGCTCACACGCACACGAGGCACGCACCAGAGGAGCCGAAACGGAACGCGCTGCGCCCTCCGCGCCCCTGGACCACGGCCACTCGGGCGGTCCAGGCCTGCCTGGGGTGCTGCGGAAGAGCAGGCCCCTCCCACTGTGTTCTGTTGCGGAAATGACCAAGGAACACGTTTGCTGATTACAGCACTGTACATAACAGCAACAGATAGGTTTTCTCGAATTAAAAAACGTTAAGTGTAGTTTTTAACAGACACATAAGGGTCACATTTGTGGGATGCCTGGTGGGGTCAGATGCGGGTGATGAGCGTGGCCTGCACCTCCGACAGCCTTTCTTTGCGCTGGGAACGGCCCTGCCAAATTGCCATGCAAGTCCCTAAGCACGTCCTGTGGCTTTCGGTATCCATCTCCACACAGACCCACAGCAGCCCCTCGGCCCCCACCGGCCCCCAGACCACACCAGGGAGCCCCGGGTCGCCATCTGGAATGTGCCTCTGGATGCCAAGTCACATGTGGGCATCTAACTTCACTTTCTTCCTTCCGGCTGCACAGACAGACCTGCTAACGTGTCTAATAAGCCACTCTGCCTGCAAGGATTAGATGCGCCTTTGTCCACGTGCTGTGGAGCTTGCGTGGCCCTGGCACCCTGCAGAGGCGTCCTGAGCCTCAGTGGACTCCCGTCAGAGTTGAACAGCCATGGAAGGGCTCAGTGCAAATGGGGTCTTAGCCTCTACAGCACACACTCCCTCTCCACTGCCCCTTTCCCTTTCCTGCCCTGAACACCAGCCCTGCAGAGTAGCCCAAAGCCCTGAGAAGGGCAGGCCGTGCAGCCGGCAGGAAAAGTAAACCCAACATCGAGAAAACAAGGATGGGTGCACAGTGTGACCGGCACTCCGTGCCCAGGCACCCAGGGATGAGCTCCAGAGGCCAGGTCCGGGGTCCCCTGCCCAGCCCTGGAGTGTGAGGGTCTGAGTGTGTGAGTGTGTGTGTGTGCAGGAGAGTGCCTGTGTGTCTGAGTGTGTGAGTGTGTGTGTGTGCAGGAGAGTGCCTGTGTGTCTGAGTGTGTGTGTGTGCAGGAGAGTGCCTGTGTGTCTGAGTGTGAGTGTGTGTGTGTGCAGGAGAGTGCCTGTGTGTCTGAGTGTGTGAGTGTGTGTGTGCAGGAGAGTGCCTGTGTGTCTGAGTGTGAGTGTGTGTATGCAGGAGAGTGCCTGTGTCTGAGTGAGTGTGTGTGTGCAGGAGAGTGCCTGTGTGTCTGAGTGTGAGTGTGAGTGTGTGCAGGAGAGTGCTTGTCTGAGTGTGAGTGTGAGTGTGTGCAGGAGAGTGCCTGTGTGTCTGTGTGTGAGTGAGTGTGTGTGTGCAGGAGAGTGCCTGTGTGTCTGAGTGTGTGAGTGTGTGTGTGCAGGAGAGTGCCTGTGTGTCTGAGTGTGTGTGTGTGTGTGCAGGAGAGTGCCTGTGTCTGAGTGAGTGTGTGTGTGCAGGAGAGTGCCTGTGTGTCTGAGTGTGAGTGTGAGTGTGTGCAGGAGAGTGCTTGTCTGAGTGTGAGTGTGTGCAGGAGAGTGCCTGTGTGTCTGTGTGTGAGTGAGTGTGTGTGTGTGCAGGAGAGTGCCTGTGTCTGAGTGTGTGAGTGTGTGTGTGCAGGAGAGTGCCTGTGTGTCTGAGTGTGTGTGTGTGTGTGCAGGAGAGTGCCTGTGTGTCTGAGTGTGTGTGTGTGCAGGAGAGTGCCTGTGTGAGTGTGTGTGCAGGAGAGTGCCTGTGTGTCTGAGTGTGTGAGTGTGTGTGTGTACAGGAGAGTGCCTGTGTCTGTGTGTGTGTGTGTGCAGGAGAGTGCCTGTGTGTCTGAGTGTGTGTGTGCAGGAGAGTGCCTGTGTGTGAGTGTGAGTGTGTGCAGGAGAGTGCCTGTGTGTCTGTCTGTGAGTGAGTGTGTGTGTGCAGGAGAGTGCCTGTGTGTCTGAGTGTGAGTGTGTGTGTGCAGGAGAGTGCCTGTGTGTCTGAGTGTGTGTGTGTGCGCAGGAGAGTGCCTGTGTGTCTGAGTGTGTGTGTGTGCAGGAGAGTGCCTGTGTGAGTGTGTGTGTGTGCAGGAGAGTGCCTGTGTGTCTGAGTGTGTGAGTGTGTGTGTGTACAGGAGAGTGCCTGTGTGTCTGTGTGTGTGTGTGCAGGAGAGTGCCTGTGTGTCTGTGTGAGTGTGTGTGCAGGAGAGTGCCTGTGTCTGAGTGTGAGTGTGTGTGGAGAGTGCCTGTGTGTCTGTGTGTGAGTGTGTGTGCAGGAGAGTGCCTGTGTGATGCTGTGGTGTGAACAGCACACACCCTCACCTGCAGAACCTTGGCAATAGAACCCACCTTCACTATGTACAGGAACGGATGCAGACAGCAGAAGCCCCAGCCACAGCTCCTGCCACAGCCAGCTGCTCCCCAGCCAGGGCCCCGCGCAGCCCGGCTCGCCCCTAGCCAGCCCCTCCCTAGCCAGGGTTCCCCCAGCCATGGCTGCCCCCCAGCCAGCAACTCCCCAGTCACAGACCCCCAGGCACGGCACTCCCCCAGCCACAGCTCCCCAGTAGCCACAGCTCCCTCCCTCCACAGCTTCCCCGCCAAGCCACATCTCCCTCCCATCAGGGACCCCACAGCCACGGCTCCCTCCTTCTAGGGCCCCCCACCAGCAGTCCCCTGAGCAGCCTCAGCTCCCTCCCCACCAGACCCCCTCCCCCAGCCTCAGCCCCACCCCAGCCACAGTTCCAGGGCTGCAGGGGTGGGGCACTTTCCCGCCATCCAGTCCCATGGTCCCCTCCCCAATGGGAGTTCCATGTGGCCTCCACGTGGCCTGAGGCACAGGCGCCCACAAAGACGACTTTTTTGCCGAACCGAAAGCCCTCTCCTTCCAGATAGAGCAGGAAGTAGAATCTCCACTCCCCAGCTTTAAAATCACAAGAAATGAAGGAAGTCAGGAAAATGAACACAGATTCACAATGGGGCGGCGGCACAGTCCCTCGTCCCTGCCCAGCTCACGCAGGCTTCTGCCCACTGCACACGCTGGATGGGCCCCGGGTGAGGGTGGCTGCTTTGCTGTGACACTGCTGTACAGCTCACTCATCCCTGGGCCTGGGACCTCCTGGCTGAGGGTCTCCTCAGCCCAGGGGCCCACCATCAGCTCAAGGAAATCAAGGGCTAGAATCACTGTCACCCACGTGGGCATTCACCAGAGGGATGGCAGCCCTGTAGGTAGGGTTTCAAATGAGCCCCCTTTAAACATGCTCTTGCTCACAGAGGATACTGTCTGCAAACGCTGCACATTGTGCTGGCTTTATAAACGCACCCAGAAGATGAGCCTGAGGCCCCAGTGTCCCCCTTGCCGACTGCAGTGGGCAGGAATTGGCCACCCTGCCTGGGCCATGGACCCACAGCTCTGCTGTGAAGGATAGTGGGTGAGGCTGGGACCCCAGGGTGCATCTCACAGGGGCTCAAGAGAGGGGCACACGGAGTTACTGATGGGAAGAGCATTTGTTCATAGGTGTCCCAATTGACAGACCCACGATCCTGAATGCAGAGGAGGCCGACACCCTCCGAGCAGACCTGTGCCAGGGAGCGCCGGGGGGACGTCCAAGGGGCCCATAGGTACTCGGGATGCCCCAACATGCCTCAGCCCACGGCAGACCCTTCACCCTATAGGACTCCCAGCTCCCCATCCACCCAGCGTCTACCCCAGTGGGCAAACGCTCACTTCCTGCTCCCTGACCCCACCTCTGCCCCAGCCAACCTCTGACTCCCTCCCGGACTCCCACAGCCTGGCCCTGCCCGTGCCTCCCACCTGACACATGGAGGCCGAGCTGGGGCTCAGAGGGTGGGTGCTCCCCAGCCCCCAGGGTCACTAAGAACGGGCTGCCCATTCCTGGTGGGTCTGTGCTCAGAGGGAAGGCCAGGACTCCATGGCCCAGCTGAGCACCTACACTGAAGGGGCTTCTGAACCCAGACCTAACCAACCCACCCATGGACCAAACAGCTGGAGGTCTGCAGGAGGTCTCTGATGGGGACGCCCCCACTTCCTCCTCCTCCCTCCGCCCACCCCCACCCCACCTTCCTCCTCTTCCTTCCTCCCTCCCCCCACCCCCTTCTTCCTCTTCTCTCCTCCCGCCCCCACCCCACCTTCCTCTCTTCCTCCCATCGACCCCCTACCCACTTCCCAGGACTCACACCTGCAGTGCGGCATCCCGGCATCCCTATATCTGTCCCCAGGAGGGCGGGTTCACCCCACCATCCCCACCTGCACCCACAGAAGAATGGGGACCAGGGCTGCGAGAAAGCAGGACAGTGGCTTTCCTTCAGCCCTTGGTGCTCCAGGGACAAATCCCACTGAGCACGTCCCTCAGGAAACCATGCAGGGTCAGAACCAGCCCCCGGCTTCCCCTCTGACTGGGCTTTCCCGACCCAGGCTCTCAAGCCACAGCCTGTCAGCATCACAGGAACCAGGGCCTGGTCTAGGACCGGCTGTTCAAAGGCCCTGGGTCACCCCTCACCAGAGAGACCCCAGCACAGCCCAAAAGAGAGAAGCGATGCCCCTTTCCGGGAAGCCCGGCTCTGGGGGCTGCAACCCACCGGGACCCCCGCCAAGACGTGGGGGAGCCCCCATCTCCCCACTGCCAGTCAGCCCAGATACATCCACGAACCACCTGCATATACAGTCTTTGGTTAGGAAGGAGGTGGAAGTGGAACGTCCAGATGCAAATTCATTCAGCCTCTGCCACCCTCTGAGGAGAAGATGCACTGGGTTCTTCTCCATGATTTTTTAAAGGCTGTTGTAACAGCCCTGCTTGTACATGCCAAGCCTCTGAAGCTCACAGAGCCACGGGAAGCCCTCACCCCGACTCAGGCAGGGAGTCCCAGCCTCTGGCCTGATGCTCAGAACTGCTGCAAACCCCCCCGGAGAGAGCAAGGAAAGTAGGTCTCATGCACAGACTCTCTCACCTGGACCTGTTAATGGCTGCCTGGGGGGTCAGATGGGAAAGGTACCTGGTTTCTGAACTGAGAACAGAGGTTTCAGGAGCTCCTGCGCCCGTCCCAGCACGGGCCGCCTGTCCCCGAGGGCAGAAATGCTGTGGCCCTGCACCCTCTGGTCAGATGCTTCTGTCCTGCCCTGCCACAACCCCCTCCTGCAAGAGCTTGAATATCACCACCCCCCGGTGAAGCCACTGCCTCTGGGTTTCTGGATCATGCACCCATGAGCCACAGGAGCACAGGCTTGCACAGGAAGTGTCTGCTCACACACCTGGCCCATGCACCTGCTCACACACCTGGCCCATGCACCTGCTCACACACCTGGCCCATGCACCTGCTCACACACCTGGCTCATGCACCTGCACACACATCTGTTTGGCACCTGAGCCCCCAAAGGGTGGGTGTTCATTCCCCTCCGCCCCTGATGGTCTCTTTCCCACCGTGCACAAAAACTGGGGTTCCTGGGGGGCTCACCTGACACCACCTGGCTCCTGGCACCTGCTCAGTGCCCCTCAGCCTGTCATGCCATGCCACAGCCCCTCCCCTGGCCAGTGCTTTCAGTGAACCCATTTGCAGGGGAGAAAAACTGAGGCACAGAGAAGACACATGACCCAACAGTCACACGGCTGGCCAAAGAGATGCTGCCTGTCAGTGTAAAGAAAATTATCGAATCCCACATGGGACCAAGAGCTCAGGAATGTGAGCTGCTGGGGGCTCCAAATGCCATCCAGCTCATCTCCCCCAGGGGTGACTTCAAAAGGTGTTCTTGCAGGAGCTCTTCTCATAGGACAAGCCCAGCTCACAGGGGCCACGACAGCCACGCGAAAGGAGCCTCCTTGCAGGCCCTGGGCCGGCATCTGTTGGATCAACCTGAATCCACCCGAGACCTGCAAAGTCCCTGGTATTTTCTTGGTGCTCTGTGGCCCTGCTCACCTTCCAGACAGAACTACTACCAGGCACAGGCACAGACGCACACAAAGACGACCAGAGAGGCTCCCGGGCTCCACTCTCATGGAGCTGGTCCAATCCACACACAATGGGTACTAGCAACCTCAAATTTTAAAGTTTGTTTAAAGCATGTTACCTATAAAAATAAAGGGCTTTTAAGAGCCGTAAGTGGAAAGATTGAACTAAATGTTCTGTCCTATCATCCAAACTTTCTGTCCACATCTGAACAAACCCAGCGCGTCCCTCTCTCCTTGTCCTTCTATAAACTCACAAGGTCAGAAGGAATCAAACATGAAAGGGTGTCCGTGACCCTCTCGAAATGAAGCCATTGTTGCTGTTTTCTTTGGCTAAATGACTCAGTCAAGTTTCGAAGAGGATTAACATCTGTGTACACTGCTGTTTTTTCTAGAACCTATTTGGGGTTTCTCATACTTATTCTAGGAAAAGTAGATGCAGGAGGCACCTCTCCCTAGAGGGGTGAATTTAGTGGGACATTTGGCATAACTCTGCCGGAGGGGTTGGCACAGGCATCTGTCTTCTGCAGCCTTGATTTCTGTGGGTGGAGGGTGAGGCCCCTCCCGGCTGTACCGAGGGAGGCCTGCACAGGGCTGGCTCACAGAGCAGGCTTTTGCTGTAGGACAGCCTGCTACGGGGCCATGTCCCACCCTGACCCACAGAGCCACGTGCCCAGAGACATTTCAAGGAAGCTTCCAGATCCCAGCCCACGGACCCACGGAATGGCTCAAGATTCCCGCCAGCAATCACACAGAAACTGGCCATTGTCCTGCCGCGCTCTGACCCCAGCAGTATGGTCCAGATGCTCTGACTGGAGCCACAGGCTCTGAGATGCGGCAGATGTTAGGACTCGAGGGGGTTCTCACCCAAAAAGTGGGTGATGAAAAATGGCAATGTGGCTCCCAGCAGGGCCTGCATAGCCCAGGGGGCTGTGTCTGCAGAGCCTCCAGCTGAGCACCCCAGTCCATCCCACTCCAGGCCCTGTGCAGAGGGAGAGGAGGCCGCTAGGTAAATATCCACCTGATTTAAACCTGGAGGCAATCAATGGACCACATCACCCACAACATGAAGTGGGGGGTCCCTCAGCGGCATCTGCAAGGCTGCCTGCCACAGACTCTCACTGAGACCCTGGAATGTGGCCTCCGCCAAGGCCACCTCCGCCAGCCCAGCCCCAGCCCCAGCTCTGACCTTCAGGACCCCCCATGAGGGCACCTGTCCCCCAAATCCAGGGAGGCCCTGCTGGGGCAGGGAGAGGCCTGGGGCTTGTTCCAGTCTGTGCTCTGGAACTTTCCTTATCTCCAACCTGTGTCTGCTCTAAAGTGCTGGAAGGAGGCCAGTGGGGACCGAGGTGGGCACCGCCCAGGGCCTGCAGCCCACAGCAGGCTCAGCTGTGGGAGGGTCTCCATGGGCTTAATAGGATGTGGGCCGGGAAAGTAGCTTATGACACCCTTGTTAGCAATGGGGCAGGAATGAGAGCAGCCGTCACCAGGGCAGCAAGTGCAAACCAAACCAGGGCTGCCCTTGGCAGGAGCAGTGACCACCCACCCACTCACCCGCCTGGTACCCCCGCTGTACCCCGAGGAGCTGAGAGCAGGGGCTCTGCTGCCCCCACCAATGCGCGCGGCTTAGACCGTCCGCGACGGCCTGCCCTGCCTGTGCCCAAATTGTCTCAAATGGCAGACACCGAGAGCCGCAGAGAGCCAGCTGGGATTGTCTTGGGGGCCTTGGGGTCTGCTGGGCCCTCCAGAACATCACCACTTTCCGGGGGCTTCCAGGAATCGGTCAGAATGAGTCCACCCTCCTGTGGGCCGTCTAGGCCTGGCCTCCACCCCTGACCCCCAGGGCCGCCTGGTCCTGCCTGCCCCCCTCCCCTGGGCCGCCGAGTCCTGCCTGCCCCCCTCCCCTGGGCCGCCGGGTCCTGCCTGCCCCCTCCCCTGGGCCGCCGGGTCCTGCCTGCCCCCCTCCCCTGGGCCGCCGGGTCCTGCCTGCCCACCTCCCCTGGGCCGCCGGGTCCTGCCTGCCCCCCTCCCCTGGGCCGCCGGGTCCTGCCTGCCCCCCTCCCCTGGGCCGCCGGGTCCACACACGCTCCGCTGTCTCTGCAGCCAGCACTGGCCCTGCACACAGCAGGTGCTCGGTGGAGGTCACCTGGGCCTCCCCAGGTCTCTGCAAACACTGACCCTCTGTCCTTGGCCCAGAAGGGGTGGGACACCCTGTCTGTCCGTCGCCCACCCTTGGAGAGCACAGAGGCAGGCTCCCTCCCAGGCCTGCCTGACAGCCCAGATAAGCCGCTATGAATGGAATGCGACCTCCTCCCGCACAGGAGCGTCACCCCCAGCCTCAAACCAGCAAACAAACCACCTGGAAGCCAAGAGACCAGTGCCTGCCTGAGAACAGTCCTGCTCGGCCCGCCCGTCAACAGGCAAGGGCACCCCGGGACTTATTTCTAGGTCTTTCTACGGACTTGATTTTCAATGGCCCAGCTGACTAAGGGCGGGCGAGGTGGTCTACGTGTTCTGTTCCATCTGATCCGCCTTGCTCCCGAGCTGACCCTGCCTCATGGGGTGACCACGGCCGGCAGAGCCTCGTGATCCCGGCTTCCCAGGGCAGCCCCACAAAGGAGCTTGCTTTGGTGGACGAGTGCGGGCTGAGGGCCGGGGAAAGCCAGCCGGGCCACTGACGCTCCCTTGCAGTGCAGCCTCCTGCCTAGAAATAAAGGCAAGTTCTCCCAGACCAGCCACGAGACCCCGGGCCGAGACGCGCCATCTCCACATTCTTGGGCTTCCAGAGACTTAGGCAGCCACCCACGCGCTCCATCAGCCTTTGTAACCGGACCCGGGGTCACCAAGAATGACCCTGAACCTGCCCAGAGTGGATGCCCCACCCGGTCCCTCCTCAGCAGCTCCCTTGGGCACAGCTGGAGCAGAAGCCCAGGATCCCAGTCTCGAGCCCCCTCCCCAGCAAGCAGCAGGCAGCAGAGGACCCGGGTGGCAGGCAGGCCCCTCCTGCCATGTCAGTCGTAGCCTATGAAAAGGCTGTGTCCTCCCAGAGCATTCAGGGTGAGAGGCACCGGGGAGGTGCTTCGACCTATTCAGAACCTTAGCTCTGACCACCACAGAGTTCCACACGCTCAGGAGAAGGCGAGAGGGCGCTAGAAAGATGGCGGCCCCCAAACCATGACCCCACTTCACATACAGGAGAGGGCGAGAGGGTGCTAGAAAGATAGGGGGCCCCCAAACCATGACCCCACTTCATGGACACAGCACATGCAGGCGAGGGCGAGAGGGCGCTAGGGAGACGGGGGGTCCCCAACGAGAGGGCGCTAGGGAGATGGGGGCCCCCAAACCATGACCCCACTTCACATGCTGGAGAGGGCGAGAGAACGCTAGGGAGACGGGGGGCCCCAAAACCATGACCCCGCTTCACAGACACAGCACATGCAGGAGAGGACGAGAGGGCGCTAGGGAGACGGGGGGTCCCCAATGAGAGGGCGCGAGGGAGATGAGGGCCCCAAAACCATGACCCCGCTTCACAGACACAGCACTCCTGGCCTGGCACCGCTGTAGAGACAGGAGCCGTTCTGCTGAACCAAGGCGGGCAGGCTTGGTTGGGGGAGCCCAGGTCCCGTGCACATGGGCCCAGAGGAGGTGGGGAGGGGGCACTGGCAGCTGAGGACACACTGGCTTTCACATGCCCTGGAGAGGATGCTGACAGGGGCTGCCAGAGCCTGTCCGTCACCCGCAGTCAGGCTCCCAGCTCCACCGTCCTGGGATCCTGCCGCCTGCTCATGAGCATGTTCATTAGCTCAGAACTCAAAACTAGAAGATGCCTCCAGCCCCATCATGAGACTGGAGAGGGGAGAAGAGGAGACAGGAAGTGGAGCCTTCCTGGGCCATGTTCTATGCAGCCGAGCCTGGGTGCTGGGTGCACAGTGGGTGACTGAATGATGGAATGGGCGGGCACTGCCAATCAACGTCCGCTGACTCCCTCTCCTCCTGCTGTGGGCACTGCCCCTTCCTCACAGGGACCTGCAGCAGCCATCGCTGACAGCGACCATCACCCACAGCTCCCCGTGGCAACTGTGCACCTGCAACGCCCATGCCTGGGACTCTGGCCTTTCATCTTGGGGAGCCCTGGCTGAAATGTTTTCCAAAGGAAAGGAGACAGGGAAAGAGACTCTCAGATCCCTCCAGGGATGCAGTTAAAGAAAGCTGTAGTCTCGGCTGGGCGCGGTGGCTCACGCCTGTAATCCCAACAATTTGGGAGGCCGAGGCGGGCAGATCACAAGGTCGGAAGATCGAGACCATCCTGGCCAACATGATGAAACCCCATCTCTACTAAAAATACAAAAAAATTGGCCGGGTGGGGTGGCGCGCCTATAGTCCCAGCTACTCGGGAGGCTGAGGCAAAAGAATCAGTTGAACCTGGGAGGCAGAGGTTATAGTGAGCCGAGATCGCACCACTGCACTCCAGCCTGAAAACAGAGCAAGACTCCGTCTCAAATTAAAAAAAAAAAAAGAAAAGAAAGAAAGCAAGCTATAGTCTCGAGTGCAGAGACATTTCAGGCACATAAAACATGCTTTAAAACGTAGAGAATCTATGGTGGACTATTACACACCCATGAAAAGGGATGAATTGTGGGTCTGCACAACACCACGACGTACCTGGAAACGTGAGGCTTGTGAGAGGAGCCCGAAACAAAAGGCCTCGCACTGCGGGAACCACCTGCATGAACGTCCAGAACCGCCGATCCAGAGGTGGAAAGTGGACTCGCAGGTTCTTGGGGCCGGGCGGTGGCTGCGTGATGGCCCAGGGCTCCCTCTCTCCGGCGTGTGAATGTTCTAGAGTTGGGCAGTGGTGATGGCTGCACAGCCTTCTGGCTGTACTAAATGTCACCGAATTGTTCGCTTTAAGATGGTTAATTTTATGCGTTGTGAATTTCACCTCAACTTAAAAAAGTTAAAGAATCCAATCGTTTCCAGTCCTTCAAAAGATGGAAAATGCCAGGGTGGAAACTGGTGGCCTCGGTCCTGGCTGCTACTGAAGTCTCCTGATCCCAGAGACCCCATCCTTGGCCACGCCTGGCTGGTCACCCCTGCACGCCGGGTCAGCTGAGGGTGCCCCTGGCCCCACCTTCCTCAGAGCGGGCTCAGCCAGTCTCCCGGTTCCCACAGCGCTGCGTCTTTGAGGCCCGAGGCCACCCTCACCACACGCTCCTCAAACTCTGAGAGCCCCCAGGCCCAGACGCCGCCTGCCTGCAGGAGCGCCGGACCCCAACCTGCACAGCACTCAAGATGCACACTCGAGCTGCCCACAGAGGGATGGGGGCAGTCAGGAAGGCTTCATGGAGGAGGTGGTGCCGACGGGCCTTGGCCGGCGCGAGCAGTGGGCAGGAGTAGGCTGCGTTGGCTGTGACCCAGGAGGCCTCGTGTCCTCCCGGCTCTGCAGGGCCAGGGACAACATCTCCCAGGACAGAACAAGCAGGGAAGTCCTGACCCAGTCAGACTCATCCAGGCCCCGGGTGTATGAGTCACCTGGGCTCATTAGTCAGGCCTGAGCTCATCGCCAGTTGCCGGCGCATTCCCGAGGCCTCGCCCCCCTTCCGCTGGTTCTCAGTCCTGCAGACCCAACCCCAGGGCCAGGGCGCATGGGAGTCACGTGATGGCGACCAGCATGAATGCTCGGCCCGGCAGACCAGTTGTCTGGCAAAGGCACCCAGAGCACTGGCCACCCCTCACGGCAAAGTCCAGGGTACGCACAAGCATGCACAGAGACCTCAACACCCGCCGGCCTGCCCACCCCACCTGGAGAATTCCGCTCCCCGCCCGCCGTGGTGCTGGTGTGTCCAGACACACCGCAGAGGTGTGAGGTCAAGAGCAGGGGTGGCCGCGGAGCAAGAGGGGGCCTGCCTGGGGGAGGCGGAGCCCATGGGCACGGCACCCGGGCACACAGTCTGGTCAGTGCCAGGCGGGTCAAGAGGCCTGAGGCAGACATGGGAGGCTGGTGGGCCAGGGGAGCCAGAAGCCTCAGGGACTGCTGGTGAGTTACTAGGGGCCACATCTGGCCTCCTGATTCAATGCCAGCCTTAAGAATTGCCCCAGAAGAAAGGGGTGGGGAGAAGCCTCCAGGGGCCACTGGCAGGACAGCAGGGGGAGGTGACACTGTGATTTAAAAGGTCGAGAGAGAAAGGGCTGCGATGGAGGTGGATATGGCACCCACACGGAGAACAGAAAGCTGGGCCCAGCCCCCAGCGTGGCTGCCATTAACACTGAGTCCAGATATTCCAGTGACCAGGCCCTACACACGCTCCGGAGAGAGCCCGGCTTTTTAAACTGCAGCAGAAAGCAAACGCACAGACATCGCCTTCCAGAAGTGTGAGCGTGAAGCTGGGGTGTCTGCACCTCAGGAGTCTGCCCTGCTGGAGTGCAGCCCTGGGACAGCAGGGCTGAGAAGCCCCTGCGTCCTGAGAGCACCTGTGTGCACGGCACCCCCGCATCCCCTCCCCTCTGCTCAGCCCCCTGCTGTTCAAGAGGCAGCTCCTTCCACCGCGGGGAGCATCAGTCCCAGCAGCATGGGTACCCTCCAAGGCCTCCCTCCCAGACCCCTCAACAGAGGAGAAAAGACAGAGAGGAGGCCCCAGAATGGGCAAGTGTCTGCAGGAGGATGCAGCCACAAGCTCCCAAACCTGCTGGACGAAGTGGGCAATCAGCAGCACGTGCAGAGGGCGGACACTCCCGTGGTCTCACGCAAGGGCTGAGCATGCAGTGTCGCTGCTGTCCCGGCCAGGCCTGGCACCCAAGGGTTTCTGGGGGCTTCCAGGGCCGGAAAGGGACCTGCGCTCTCCCACTCAGGGCGTGGCAGGGTTTCCGGGGGCTTCCAGGGCCGGACGTGATGGGGGAGCGCTGCAGGGGTTTGGGCTTCTCCATCTCGGCGAGGAGGGTGTGGACGCCCGCCCGGGAGAGCAAGCGCAGCCTCGCCACGCTGAACCAGGGGCTGCCCTCTCCCAAAATAACTCCAGGCCAGGCTCGGTGGCTCACACCTGTAATCCCAGCACTTTGGGAGGCCAAGGCAGGCGGATCACCTGAGGTCAGGAGTTCGAGACCAGCCTGGCCAACATGGTGAAACCCCATCTCTACTAAAAACACAAAAATTAGCCAGGTGTGGTGGCGGGCGCCTGTAATTCCAGCTACTCCAGAGGCTGAGATGTGAGAATCGCTTGAACCCGGGAGGTAGAGGTTGCAGTGAGCCAAGATTACACCACTGCAGTCCACCCTGGGCGACAGAGCGAGACTCTGTCTCAAAAAAAGAAAAAAAGTAACTCGAAAGTCACTCAAACTAAATGCTGTCAATTCACTTACGCCCCAGCCAGGCAACTGTGAAAAGGTGGGGAAGCAGGAGGGGGCGGGGCGGGGGCAGTGCTCTCTAAAAACCAGAGGAGTCACACTCAGCCCCTTCCTGGGTTCTCATCCCACATGAAAGAAGCAACAGGGATGCAGGGATGAGGCCTCACGGTGCTTTGGGCAAGAAGGACAGCCGGCCGAAGTCAGAATGAAGTTTGCACGCACAGATGTGCTGTTCTAACTTGGGATAAATGTGGATCTCGTGAATCCCGAGAGCCCTTGGCGCTCTGGCTTTGCTTTGGAAAACAGTGTCCCCTGCCAGACCACCCTGGGGAGGATGGGGGTCACCACAGGCCCCCAGGGATGTTTCCTTTCTGCTGCCCAAGTCCAGAGACCAAAGGCCCCGAACCTCCCCCTGAGGAGCCGGGGAGGCTGGACGACGAGAGGGACCCTCTGACTCCAGACACAGGACCCCACCTTGTGCAAGTCTGCAGCCCAGCTCCACACCTCACAGGGCAGCCCACGGGAGGTAGCTGTGCAGTGTTCATGCAGGAGGGTGTGGGTGAGTGGGGTTGTGACCCCTGCCGTGACGGTTTTCAGAGGCCTTGGGCCACCCGAGGGTGAGGCAGGGGGTCCACCTCCATGCACACCTCTTGGGGGACAGTTGCAGGGACCCCAGGGACCCGCTGACTCTGTGTCAGCACCAGGGTCCTCCAGGGGAGCCCAGTCTGGGGCTCTGACAGGCGTGTCCAGGGAGACAGGTGGACGCGGTCACACTGCACTCACAGCACACACACACACACGGCCGGGGCTCCAACAGGCGTGTCCGGGGAGACGGGCGGACGCGGTCACACTGCACTCAGCACACACATGGCTGGGGCTCTGCGCAGCCCAAGACTGGTGTGAGGAAGGAGGCGGTGGGTGGTGCTGCCCACCCATTGGCTCACAGGCCCAGCAGCACCGATGGAGAGGCCGCGATGCCACAAGTCAGACCCACCCCGTCCTCATGAGACTGACTGGCCCCCGAGCCCGGGGCATCTGAGAAACCTCCTGCGAATGGCTACAGAGGAAATTTTCAGGTGCGAGAGATCTGAAGAAAGTTCTGGAACCCGCGCCTGGACCGGTTTGGACCCTCAGTGGAAACACATCAAAGAGAAGGAAAACCAGCTGGGGAAGGATCCTGGCAGCGGTGGCTCAGGTCTGGGAGAAAGAGGCGCGGGCGAGGCAGTGCCTGAGCAATGGAAACCGACGGGCAGGAGGCGGGAAGGGGCTGCGCCACGGGCCTCCCAGGGTCCCCACGCCACTGCACACCTAGGACTGAGGGAGGGTCAGTGGGGGCCAAGGGCTGCCCCGGAAGGGAGCCGGTTTTCAGGAGCTTCCAAGCTGAAGGGCAGAAGCCACCAGGACCTGGCCCAGCGCTCTGGTCCAGGGTCAGGTCACACCTCTGACCAGGGATTGGAGGCTGCAAATTGGAGGCACCACTGGCCGAGTGCTCGCGAGTTCTCCACTGGTCAGGTGGGCCGCAGGGGCCTTGGGGGAGCGCCTTGGCACTGTGGGAGGTGACCACGCAGGCTCAGGCACGGCTGCCCTGGGGGTCATCCTCTGTGGGGCACCTTGGGGCAGGTGTCTGTATCCCGGGAACCCTCGCCCAGAGACCCACGGCTAACCCACAGCAGAGCTGCGCTCCAGGCGTGTTTACCTGCGCCACACACCTCCTCACCTGGCTCTCCGCCCTGCAGAGAGGGCCTCCCACTGCTCCCCAGCAGAGCCCTGAGCCTGCCTGTGCCCTGGGCCTGCCAACACCACCAGGGCCCACCACAGAGGCACAGGAAGCCTGGGTTTGCTCCTGAATTGCCGTGACTGCCACCTCCTCCACCTGAGAAGGTGTCCCTGTGTCACTGTGGATGGCGGACCGGGCACTGCGGGAGGTGGGGTGGCCTGCCAGGGTCCCGACATGAGGCCTCCTTAAGCCCTACCCTCCCCCCAGCACCAGTGCCCGGGACCCTCTGCAGGGACTGTTTCCACCAGGGCCCCGCAGCACTGCCCAGCACCCTGGCCCGGCTCCGTCTGCAGGACCTGCTGGCAGGACAGGCCCCTGTCTGTGCATCAGAATTCACTGGGAGGCAGCTGCTCCTACAGCCTCAGATTCCAAATCCAAATGCCCAACAGGAGGGCCCTGGGCGAGCAGCTGAGTGCGTCAGGCCTCTGCCCCCAGGACACTGCAGAACCCTGCTCCAAGAGGGTCTTAAACTGGCCAGTAAGGGCTCCAACTCAGAACCACGGAGTCTGCAGGACGGAACTGCCTCCACCCGGTATGGGCAATGCACTCAGGGAGAAAACCAAGCTATCCTCCAAACACTGGGGAGCTCTGGCCGGCCTCCTCTGTTAATATTTGACTCAAGCCTGAGGTACCTAATTCAGCATTAACTGGAGTCACTCAATGGCCATGAGCCCCTTGGTTCCGCAGTAACTCAGGTGGGGGTGGGGACAACCTGGGCTGACCCCGAGGAGGCTGGGATTCAAGAGAGGCCGACCTCCAGATCCACTCATATGACCCTTGGAGCCGGGCCCTCCGGGGGGCGGGGGGCGGGGGGCGGGCGCCCAGCTGTGTGTGGACACAGCTTTGGGAGGGTCCTGCTGCCGTCCGAGGTGCTTGTGGAGCTCCACGCCTTTCTCTCTGCAAATCACTGAATACAGCAGCAAGGAAAGGGAAACTGTGGAAGCTCGGGGAATGTACCCCAGCACAGCAAGGGCAGCTGGCCAACGCTCAGGAAGTGGACCAGCCAACACTCAGGGACCAGACCGGCCAACACGCGGGAACTGGACCAGCTAACCCTCAAGAACCATGTCACCATGGAACATAAGCCATGGTTTCCAACTCCCTTAAGCTCCAGGACACCATTTCCAAGCTTGATTTGCCCTATGGAGAAGGAGAAGTGGTCAAAAGTGGGGACATTAAAACCACTTCGGCCGGGTGCGGTGGCTCACACCTATAATCCCAACACTCTGGGAAGGAGATGCGGGCAGATCACCTGAGGTCGGGAGTTAGAGACCAGCCTGACCAACATGGAGAAACCTTGTCTCTACTAAAAATACAAAAAATTAGCTGGGCAAAAATACAAAAAAATTAGCTGGACATGGTGGTGCATGCCTGTAATCCCAGCTACTCGGGAGGCTGAGGCAGGAGAATCTCTCAAACCCAGGAGATGGAGGTTGCAGTGACCAGAGATCATGCCATTGCACTCCAGCCTGGGCAACAAGAGTGAAACTCCATCTCAAAAAAAAAAAAGCCACTTGGACCTTCCTGACACCACCCACCAGGTGGTCTCCCAAAGAACAGGCCCCTCCACCCAGGAGGCCCACAGCCCCGCCTCACCCAGTGGCCTGACCTGGGGCCGCTACCTCCCCTTTCCTTGGCAGGGTGCTGGGCGGAGGCCCCGTTTTTCACCAACCGACGGCTGGGAGAGCCCGTGCCACCCACTGTGCCCTGAGACCCGCACAGGACGGCGACTCACAGATGCCTTTTGCTGCCCTGCCCGGGTCCTGGCACGGCGCGAGGTGCGTCAGGCCAGGCAGCCACGCAAAGGCCCCGGCTCCTGGCTTCTGCCATCTATTCTGTCCTGCAACTCTATCCTGGAGCCTCCCATCCCTTCAAAAGCTGCAGGAAGAGGTGAGACCCTCAGTGCCCACAGGCGAGGCCCCGCCATCGCACTCCAAATGCCTGCCCACCAAGCCCAGGGCCTCCTGCCCCTCTACAGACAGAGCCCACCAAACCCAGGGCCTCCTGCCCCTCTACAGACAGAGAGCAAGCGGGTGTGCCAGGGTCCCTGAGCCAAGTCCAGGTGCTCAGACTTTGCTGAGATTAAACCTCACAGTGAGCCTGTGTGTGCCTGCATGTGTGTGTGTGTGTGTGAGCCCATGTGTGTGAGCCATGTGTATGTGAACCTGTATGTGTGAGCCTGTGTGTGTGAACGTGTGTGTGTGAGAGCTTGTGTGAGCTGTGTATATGTGAACCTGTGTGTGCGTGAGCCTGTGTGTCTGTGAACCTGTGTGTGTGACAGCCATGTGTGCGTATCGGCCCGAGCGTGTGTCTGTGTGAGTGTGTTGGCATGGAATGGGGTGAAGATGGCACCACACCACAGGCAGGAATGGAGGGTTGCAAGCTGAGAGGCCGCACATATGACACAGGTCACAGTCACAGTGCTCAGGAATTCCAGAGGGGTGCAACTGGCCCTGGGGGACCCCGGGCTGTGTCCTGTCACAGGGCCCTGAGCCTCAGGTGCTGAGGTGTTCAAAGGTTCTCTCCACTCGGTGGTCCACCTGGCTGCCTACTGCCTGGGAGGTGGCAGGAATGAGGGTCTCTGTGCCAGGCAGGCACGGCAAGTACCCGGCCAACCCTGAAACAGTGTGAGCTTCCTTCCTGGCAACCTGCCAGCCACCTGACCCGCTCCACACCTTCCAGGCCTGCAGGCAAGAGAAGAGGACTGCAGGAGTGAGCAATTTAAGAAATGGAAGGCCGAGGTTTTCCAATCTAATTAACAGCATGACAAGCCAGGATGGGCTGCTGACCCGCGTGGAGCCTTGCACAGCCAGAAACGCGGTGTCCTGCTCCGCTCCTGAGACGCCAGGGCTGTCACTGCAACACAGCCCCCAACACTTCCACACGGGCGGACTCTGGCTCTCCAGGCACCGCAGTGCCCTCTCCTTCCCTTCCCAGCTCTCCTGAGGCCTGTGGTTCTGGGAGTCTCTGCCCCGTGCAAGCGTGACCGTGGCCCTCCTCCCATGTCCAGCCGCACCAGGCCCTGGGATCCCAGATCTGGCTTCACCTTTGCAAGGGGCTCAAAGCAAGCACCTATGGGGGTGGGGGCGGCAAAGCCGTCTGGCCAAGGTCCCTTCTCTAGAGTGCCTGTCTGTCCGTCTGTCCTTGAGGAGCCTGAGGAGTGCAGGGCAGGACAGGCAGGCACCAGCTGACCCGGTACCGGGCAGGGACCAGTGCAGGACCTCGAGGCAGGGCTGGGTGGGGTGGGGGTGGCCAGAGTCTCCTGGCTCGGAGCAGACACGGGTGAGTGGCACAGACTGTCCTCACACCCTCCTGGGACAGAGGTAGGAATCCGTGACCAGGACAGACACAGGCAGGACTGGGAGAGGCAGAGCAGGTGCCTGAGCTTGGCCACGCACAGCTTCCAATGAGGTTGGGCCATCCACAGCTCCCCAAGGTTCCCCGCCACTGTTCACCCCACCCCAGCACAGCCGAGAGCTGTGGTTTCTCCTCCCATGGAGTCCTGCATGGCTGCCCACTGCAGGCCCAGCCCAAGGGCACCGCCTTCTCCAGGCTGCCTTCCCTGCACATGCCACACCTCCAGCCCCAGAAGGTTCTGAGGAGGGGAGGAGCTGGGGCCCCCACTCGCCCTCCTGTTGCCAGGATACAGGCCCAGGAAAAAATGCCACAGTGCTGGATTAATGTCTAGACAACGTGACCTTTCCCCTGGTTCTCTAGATATAATTGGGACCCAAATTGTCCGGTGTCATGAGCTGACAGCAGGGATGAAGGAGGGGTCTGTTCTCGGTGCCCCGAGGGGACTCCGGGAGAGGGAGAGGGCAGCCCACTACCTGCGTGGGGGCTGCAGGGGGACGAGCCAGGGTCGCCCACAAAGGCGCTTTCTGTGGAGGGGACGTCACCTCTTCCATCAGCGATGACGCAGCTCTGAGATCACAGTGTCCTCGCAGTGGCTCCCGTTAACTCCCTGCTGCCCGTCCTGCCAGGCTGGTGCCACGAGACCCTCGGGGCTGGGCCGTGGGACAGGTGCCTGCCCAGCCCTGCAAACACATCCAGCAGGTGTCGAGGGCTGCCAAGCACAGACTTCTGCTGCCAGCCATGCACAGTGCCAGCTGCGACAGCAACGCCTCTGCCAGGAGACTCGGAGGAGACCGGCCCTGACGCTCCTGTCGGGGGGAGCTGCTGCACACTCAGGCAGGATGCAGGGGTCCTGAGGGGGACCCTCGGCTCACCCACGGCTCCCGTGGCCGGTCTGGTCCTGGTATTTATCTCAACTTCATTGTTGTCCAGAAGCTGCTTTTTATTATTTGTGACCATGAAAGGATGGAAACAAATTCCTGTTTTGAGTCAAAGCTACCTGCGTCCACCGGGCCACAGAGCGGGGACACGGCCGTAATGTGGAGTCAGTAAGCCAAGGTTGTGAGAAGATTCTCAGGAGGGGGGTCCAGGGAGGGAGAACTGAGGGCTGGGGTTCCGGGGGACATTTTACTTTTTATTCCAGGCAGCGCTGTACTGGCTGGGGCCTCAAATGCTGAATAATGCTCCTGTTGGACTTCAGTAATTTTAAAAAATAAAACTGTTTAAAAATCATGAACATTTCACAATGCAACCAAGTGGCCCCAGGTCCTCCCCTAAGCATGGTGCCCATCCGTGGCTTTGAGGAGGGTCCTTCAGCGCCAGCCAGGCTTCCTGGCATTTACACCCAAAACGCCTGATAAATCTGCTGAGGGAAACACTGTACCTGGCAGGACATAAAGTCCAGGCCACTTTGCAGCCCAGCTCCCACCCCAGGGCCCGAACAGTGATGGGCGGCCTCAGAGAGCACCCAGTGGCCCCAGGAAGCCAGACCCAAGCCTTTGGAGCCAGCCTGGCCTTGGCGATCCTGCGAGCGTGTCACTACATGACATTAAGTGTCACCACACACGGCATCGTGTCACCACACACGGCATCGCGCATCACTACACACAGCATCATGTAACTACACGGCATTGCGTCACTACACGGCATCACGTCACTACCCGGCATCACGTCACTACACGGAACTGCATGTCACCACACACGGCATCACGTCACTACACGGAACTGCACGTCACCACACACGGCATCGCCTTACTACACGGAATCACGTCACTACATGGAATTGCATGTCACTACACACGGCATCGTGTGTCAGGGCCCAGCTCCAGAGCCTCTGGCAAGGGCTGGCCAACTTCTGCTCAGCACTTTGGCATCCCTGACCCGCCACTGACACTGGGGACCCTGGTCCTCGCGTCCATCCTTTACTGAAGACAGGGAAGAGCTGACCTGCAGCCCTGATGCCCCCAGACTGAGGCGGTGAAGACTATGGCACTGTCTGCCCCATGGAGGGGTTGCTTCTCCATCTCCCTGCCTGCAAGCCGTCCGGGGGGTCTGGCTGGTTCCACATGACACAAGCCCCTCTAGAGGGTGTGTATTGGCCATCACGCCTCGCAGGGCCGCAGGCACAGGAGGTCGGGGTGGGAGGGACCCGGGAACCCAACGCTAAAGCAGAGACAGCCTTGGAGGCCCCTGAGGAGGTGCCGCTGCCCTGAGACCCCAGGAAGTGACGTGAGGTGGCTGGGAGGCCCCTGAGGAGGTGCCGCTTCCCTGAGACCCCAGGAAGAGATGTGAGCCAAGGAGGGCGGGCTGTGGACACGGTGGGGTCAGCAGGTGCACGAGGCGGGCTGTGCAGAGCAGGTGGGAACCGCCGGTGAGCACCCCGAGGCTCAGCAAGGAGGCAGCCTCTGCAGTGATCGCAGCAGACAAGTGACCGGGCAAGCGCCGCCCCAGAGCCAGCCCGGGAATTCATCTAAACACCCGGCAGCTGTTCCCAGGCCACCAGCTCCTGCCACAAAGCAAGGGAAACCACCAAGAAGGGACGGCTGCCTTGACGTGGGAAGAATGAGCCCAGCACTGAGCTGCCCTGCCAGAGACATCCCTCCCCAGCTCGGGGACCCTCAGCGATGCTGGCGGGCAGGCGTGGGAAGGGCACGCCCACCCTACCACTTCGGCAGCCGGGGGCCGGGATGCAGACCCCTCTGCCCCCACCAGGGATGAGCACCCGGCCAGCTCCGCTCAGCGCTGTCCTCAATCTGCAGATGCAGCCCACAAAGAGCTCGGAGTCAGAGCCGGCTCCCCTGGAAGGGAAGGGTCTTGTCACTGCACATCTAGACAGCAGGCCCTGGCCGTCCAGCCCCACGCCAGGCGCCCCCACTCACAGCCAGCGCTCCGGGGGCGGCACACGTTAACGAACAGGCACCTGCCCTTCTCGGTTCCTGCGGCAGCAGGACTGGCCATGCCAAGGCCACCTCCCAGGAAAGACGTGTCTGGGGAGATGGAAGAGGCCGGAGACACAGAGTGCTGCCAGCTGCGCTGTGGGTGGGGCCTGGGGAAGGAGGTTGGAGGCCAGAACCCCCTTTTCTCTCTTCCCTACGGTGCAATTCTCCCCACCCTTAGCGTTTTCCACAGAGCAGCACCTCCTTCACCACTTCATGGGAGTGGCACCCAGGATGGAGGGCCCAGCTCTGCCCAGACCACAGTGGCTACAACAACGGATGCAGAGGATTTGGGCCAAACCACATCCCCCGGCCGAGAGCGGTCACCCCACAGTCCGTTGTTATTAACAGGCCTGGTGCACAGGTCCTGGATGTGCTGAAAAGCCCATCAGGGAGCTGGAGGGAGCAGAAGTTGGCACACAGAATGCCAGAGAGACCGCGGTCCTAGAAATGCCACAGAGAGGGCAGCTGGGCCAGGCAGGGCGGGGGCACCCGTGAGACCCTCGAGTCGGAAGAGGACACCTGAGGACACTGAGCAAGCCACAGACCGCAGGACAGGGAACCTGCAGGTGAAAGGGCCCCAAGCCCCGGGGAACCCAGGGATCCCTGCACAGCAGGCAGGCACGTTCGGGGGCCAATCCAGAGACTACAGTGGAACAGCCCACAAGCACAGAGAAGCAAGCGCCAGAAGGAGGTAAGGCAAGCCGGTGCCATTCGTATCCATTAAGAGGCTAAGAATCCCACAAGGCCCTGACAAGCCAGGAGGTGAGTCCACGTGAAATACAAAAACCAGCAGGGTCTGGCAGTGAGGGTAGGAGCTGCTCCTGGGGAATCTGGGCGGGCTCTCCGGGATCCCAGCACCACCTTTGGGAAGATCATTTCCCAAAACACACATTATCTAAACAGCAACCCGCCACAACCAAAAGCAACCAAGAACACCGACAGTCAGAAAAGCCCTTTAACAAAAATAACTTAGGGAACTAGAATTATTTCTGCTGAAAACAGAAGGGTAAAGATCAAATTAGCTGCTTCCAAATATCTGAAAACTCACGGAACAAGAAAACATACCTGACACTGAAAGCACTGTCACTCTCTCGAGAGCAAGACCAGCTTGCAATTCAGACGAGGAAATGCAGAACGAGGATATGCAGAACGAGCATATGCAGAACGAGGGAAGGGAAGAGTTGTCAGGGGCAGGCGCTGGGGCTGGGGATAAAAGACCCAGGCAAAGTGAGCTGTGCTGCTTCCAATCAAGTGGGAGAGTAGAGGCTGCACCTCTGGAGTTCAACTAGAAACTGTGTGCTAGTCAGCATGCAGCTCCAATCTGACTAATATTTAGCACCTGCTGAGCCTAAGCTGGAATCTAAGAGATGCCGGGTGACCAGGTCACAGAGGACGGACCGCGGTCCAGGAGAGCACACTGTCCTCAGAGGAAATCTAAGAGATGCTGGGTGACCAGGTCACAGAGGACGGACCGAGGCCCAGGAGAGCACACTGTCCTCAGGTTCAACACCTAGGGGCCTGGATTTCTGAATCCAAGCAAACACCGCCCTGCCCCGGCCACCCCCACACCAGTGCGGAGCCTCGCGGTCCCCACACCACCCCCAGTTCACAAAGGACACCAGGCGTGGGGAGACTGTGCCCCGGCCACCCCCACACCGGCCCCAGTTCACAAAGGACACTGGGCATGGCAAGACTGTGTGTGCTGCCCCAGTCTCCTGGCCAGAAAGTGGGCTGCAGGACAGAGATCCAGGCTGGCCGGCCCTACTGCTCCTGACCAAGATGGACCTCAGAGAAGGTCCCCATTCCCCAAGAATAGGTTTAAAAAGCCGGGTCTAGGGAGCCACGATCCAGATGCCAATGAGAGGCGTGATTCACAGGTTTCACGGGCCCCACAGGAAGGGCCGGTGTGGCCACGTTCCCAACTCAGCTGGGTCAGGGTCACAGAGGCATACCTGCCCGGTGTTGCTGGGCAGTCCGGATAACAGAAGGGGTCTGGCTGTGTGTTCTGGATAATTGAAAGGCCCGGCGAGGCATTCCAGATAGCCGAGGGCCCACGCAGTGTTCTGGATAAGCGGGGGCCCACACTCTCCCGGCCCCCGGCAAGTACCCTCAGGGCTGAGGGCCTGCTTGGCACGTGCCTGGTCAGCTTTTCTTTATGAAAACCCCCAACACACCATGCCCGCCTGGCTGCGTGAGCACCACCTGGGGCTCCACCCGGCTGCAGCGCCAGGCACTGGGCTGGATGGCACTTTCCGGGAGTGCTTCTGCGCCTTTGCCTCATTCTCCAAAAGTAGAGCTCGCACCTCTCTGAAGGCCAGGCAAGGCGTGAACCCCAGGCCCCCAGCCAGGGTCTGATCAATGGCACCGCCTGCACTTTCCCGTCCGGGGCCTGCCCCGGCCGCCTGCCGCACCCCCGCTCTCAACTCCACACCACGCTGGTTCCCACCTGCATCCATCTTCCGGAAGGGGGGCTCCATTCACAGCCCCGCTCCGCCGCCCCTGCGCATGGTCCTGCCCCTCCTCCTGCCCCACCCGTGGCAGCCGGTCCTGAGCTCTGAGCCCTGGGTGTCCAGCTCCTGGCTGCTGCCCTGGGCCTGTTGGGAGGTCATCCTGGGGACCTGAAGACCAGAGGTTCCATTGAGTCAGGAGATTCCGAAGGCCGAGGACTCATCTTTAAGTCTCCACAAAGCCTGCAGCCTGGGGTGGCCCTGGGTGTGCAGGAAGTGCTCGTATTCTGACCCCCAGCAGCCTTGAGGGTCCTGCTGAAGCCGGCACACATCCAAGACTTCCTGCCCCACAGAGTGGCCCTTCGCAGGTGAGAGGCCCTTATTCCCATGGTCACTAATGCCACCCCTTCGGTGAACCAACACCACGCCGCACTGTCACCTCTGGCTGCTGGGACAAGTCAGTCAGTGTCTTAAAGCAACACAGGCATCCCTCAGAGCTCAGGAGACTGGAAGTCAGAAGTCACGGTGCCCGCAGGGGTCCTCTGGAGGCTCCAGGGGGAACCCACTTCCTGGTCTTCTCATGCCCTCCCCAGCGGCTCCATCTCCATCATCCCCTCCTCTCCCTGTCCTGCCCCTTCTCTATAAGGACCCTCGTAATGACGTGGGGCCCACCTGATAATCCAGGGTCATCTGCACCTGATCCTGAGCCTCATCCCACACACAGGCCATACTCACGGGTCCCACAGGCCGGGGTGGTCAGCTCGGGGTCAGTATTCGGCCTTCTATGCGTGTGATCGGAAGTGGAAGCATAAATGAGGGTTTTGGGTTTTGTTTCTTAGGTTCGGGGACATTAGTGTCCATCTGTCTGCCCTCTCACTGGCGGGCAGGGCTGTTTTCTGGTCTGGGAGGCTGGCTGTCCGTGAGGCCCTCAGGCCACATGCCCGGAGCATGGCCATCAGCAGGGGCCAGGCCTGGGGCAGAGTCGGCCGCAGGGTCCGAGCCTTGTCTGCAGGAGGCCGCCCAGGTCTGTTAAAATGCCAGACGTCCCCTGTGATGACAGGAAAGGCTGAATTGGGACAGGTGGTCTTCCTGGTTTCCAAACCTCCCACAACATTCTCAGTCATTTTCACAATAGAAACGTGTGACTAACAACCTGAGTAGGTCGGACTGGAGCCCATTCCTTTGGGGGTGAAGTCTCATTTCAGCTGGAAAACAGGGATGTCCTGCTGCCCCGAGGGGATCAGAGACCCCGCATCAAGATGTGCCCCCGAAAGGGAGACAGGGCTGAGATTTGGGGACCCAAAACAGATGAGAGGTCAGCAGCAACACTGCCTGCCAGGCACAGGCACACCATGGCCTCCTAGCAAGAGGCAGGGCAGCAGCAAAGCCAGGAGAAGGGAGCTGATTGACGGCCAGAGCCACAAGGCTGGGCAGGAGGGCCTGGGGCCAGGCGGTGCATCCAATACAGAAAGGGCCTCCCCCTCCTCCTCCCGATCCTCCTCCTCCACCTCCTCCTGCTCCTCCAAGGGACCAAGGCTCAGAGAGCAGAGATGGTTCAGGTGCACACGGGCTTGGAGAGGGCAAGCTGTTTAGCTGAAATGAGAATTTATACTAGAAGACGCCTCCCAGCTCCATGGACCAGCTCACTCCATAAGGCTCCTGCCCCTGAGGGTCCGCCACCTCCCTCAGCACCCCTCCAATCCCACACCTAGGGAATTTCCTGGGAACCTGCCTTTTAAACCCTCTCCATCCTCTACCCTGCCTCTAGCCTCTGCAAAGGCCCAGGCACAAGTGCTGGGCATGGCTGGCGGGGCCTTTGCTTCCCTCAGTGCCCAGGGACAAGGATGTGCAGGGCTGGCAGAGGGACCCCAAGGTTAGCGTGGACGGGATCCATGGACGCTTCCTTCTTTCTGGCTGGAAGGCTGAGATGATAACAGAAAGGAAGCGGATGTTCTCTGAACTCCTCCTCAGAGGCAGCACATGAGGCTAAACTTTACAAAGCACAGACGCCTCCCTCCGGGAACTGCCTCTTCACAAGAAAGCTCCTCGCTGGGGCAAAAGAGGCCCGGCTTTCTCAGAAGTCTCCTGACAGCCGAGGGGTCGTAGCGGGAGACTTTAGAAAATGTTTGCCGCCCAGTCACAAATCCAGCAAGTGGAGGAGACAGGTGTTCCCTGGGTCCCCGCGACAGGGGCGTTGAAGCCTGTCATGGTGCAGGCGCCCTGGCCTGCGGACACGTAGCGCGGCTGGAGGAGGTGGGAATGGCTGCCCTCTCTAATACACATCTTTCAGTTCAGCAGGCACAGCGCGGGGCTCAGTAAGAAGCAGCACAAAAGCTGTGTCTGCTCACGGGGACCCATTTTACTCACGTTGCAAACCAGTCCCTCCTACGGGGCTCTGCCCTAAGGGTGGGGATGGAGCCCTCTCTCCACTGTGGCGTCCCCCCTAGAGCCTCAGGACCGGCTGGCCTCAGAGGGCTGTCAGCAGGACACACCCCAGGAAGCCGATGTGTGATGTCCCATCCTTCCTGTATGGCCCCATGACGCTCCACCATCCCCAGGCACAGATTAGAGACCAAGACACGGAGAGGGTGAGCAGCCTGCCCGTGGCCACACACACTCAGGGTCACAGCCTGAGCTCTCAGCCATCACACTAGGCGGCATCCCACCCATGAGGGCAAAGAGGACCATAGATGACGGCCAGGCTTCCTGACAGTTTAGCCACTACTGTGAGAAGCATCTCTAATTCCATATCCACAAAGGCAGAGTCAAGACGCTAACAGCTGACAGGTGCCACGTGGCCTCCCCACAGGCACTGAGGCCTCAAGCACCTTCACTTGCAGGACCCTCACGGCCCCTCAGCAGACCTGCACCACAGATGAGCAAAGTGGCAGGGCCAGCTCCATTGTCTGTGTGCCTGGGCCGCAGGCCCCTGAGCTCTGCTGGCCACTCCAGGGTGCCATCTCTAAAGGGACCAGAAAAATGAGGAAAAACAACTCCACACATTAAGAAATATACCCCATGGCTGGGCACAGTGGCACACGCCTGGAATCCCAGCACTTTGGGAGGCCGAGGCAGGTGGACCACCTGAGGTCAGGAGTTTGAGACCAGCCTGGCCAACATGGCAAAACCCCGTCTCTACTTTAAAAAAAAAAAAAAAATTAGCCAGGCGTGGTGGCCCACACCTGTAGTCCCAGCTACTCAGGAGGCTGAGGCAGGAGAATCGCTTGAGCCCGGAAGATGGAGGTTGCAGGGCGCCAAGATCACGCCACTGCACTCCAGCCTGGGCAACAGAGCCAGACTCCATCTCGAAAAAAAAAAAAAAAAGAAATATACCCCCAGTTAAAGAAATATCATACCCCCAGTTAAAGGCTGACCATAAACAATAAAAGTACGCAAAATAGGACATCCAGAGCTGAAAGCATCAACAGACAAAAAGCTACGGGGAAAGAGAATGCACCTGCAGGGCAGTGGGCACGAGCCACAAACCCGGCATTCCCAGAGAAGCACGACGGCCCCTTAGTGCGTGAAAAAGTTCACCCACACGGTGAACGCCACGTTCCCAGAGAAACACGACGGCCCCTTAGTGGATGAAAATGTTTGCCCGCATGGCAATGGGGACTCACAAAACAGAACTCTGAGATGATATTTTCCATCAACCAAATTAGCAAGGTTTTTAAAAGACAGGATCCAGCCTGGCCGTTTGGGCCGCAGAGCTGTGTGTAAATGAACGTCGCCCATCAGAAGCGAGGCCCTCCCCTCTCCTGCAGGTCCCTGACCACAGCCTGCCCCCCCCCCACCCCCCGCCATCAGCCCTGACTCTGGCTGGGGTGACACCCAAGATAAGAGCTGTGAGAAGACGAAGCCCTCGCCTGTGTCAGCGATAAGGGTGCACTGTTCCCTATGACTGCTCACTCACAGCGCCGGGCCCTCCAGAGCCTGTGTCAGCGATAAGGGCACGCTGTTCCCTGTGACTGCTCGTTCACAGCGCCGGGCCCTCCAGACTGTGGGCGTCTGAGGCTTACTCCGGGCCCTTCAGACTGTGGGTGTCCGAGGCTCATTGTGGTGTTTCCTTCTCTTCTCGGGCAGGCACGGCCTCTCGCACACAGAAGGTGCTCAAAAATGCACACAGGAAAAAGGAATCAAAGGCCGGGTGGACCAAGAACAGTGGCTGGGCTATCCCCAAGCAGCTGGCGGGGGCCTCGCCACCCATCAGCCCACAGCCCTGGGCTCTGAGGTTCTCCACTAATGCCAGCCCCCAATCCTGCTGGCCTCTTTAGCCCCAGCATGGAAGAGGTCACAGACACTGGCTCCATGGGGTCACCTGGCATCGGGGAAGGCAGAGCCACTGCAGACGATGTCCTGCCCCTGGATAACACCCTGCACTGGCAGCTGCAGGGCTGGGACTTCGCCACAGGCCCACGGAGTTCCTGGGACACTACCCCTGTCTCTCCCATGCCCCTCCCTGCCACAGGGAGAGGCCAGATGTCCCGCCCAGCTGCAGCGTCCACCTGAATTGAGTGATTCCTCCCAAAACAAAGTCTCCTGTTGTCTAAGTTGAAACATGGAAGGAAGGTCTCTCTCGGTTCCTGAGGCCATAGGGTGTGTGGACTCGGGCCTGCCCAGGTGTGTCCAGACGAGGCCTCCAGAGCAGCCGAATCAGAGGCTCTTCCTGAGCCCTCATGCTCCAGGACCGGAGATGCCAGACGGCGTGAAGCCGCCACCAAGATGGGCTGCCGGCCCAGGAGCTATGTCCAGCCTGGCTTTCCCATCAGCTCACGTCACCCCAAAACAGACAGTGCCTCTCCTGCCCCCAGGAGCAGCTGTGCTGGCAGGTTCTCTGCAGACAGAGGAGTCCGAGCTGCTGAAACTTGACCCTGTCTCACAATCTCTAAGCACAGATTCCAGAGAGGCCTAACTGCGGCAAATGTTGAAGCTGCTCAACGGAACGGTGGGGAAATACAAAAGCATGGACTTCAGACCAAAAATAAATGAGCAAACGAACAAACGGCTGCGGGGGTGGGTGCGAGTTCCGCCACCGTAACCAATCACGCTCCCTCCTCCTGCCGTTCCCACTGGCCTTCCTCCCTGTGGCTCTGGCCCAGTGTCTGTCTGCAGGGGTCCCCGCAGGGTCAGCCCTTGACCCCCCACCAGTGCCCGGCCCCAGCACCAGCGTGTGCCCACTCGCAAGCCTGCTGGCCTTCTGGAAGCCGGCGTGGTGAGAGCCAAACCGCCACCCAGCCTGGTGCTGGTGCCTGCCCTGCCCATCACAAGGCTCCTGTGGGAACGAGGGGCCCACAGGGGATCAGCCCCGAGGTGGCGAGGTGACCCCATCTGCCACCATGAAATGCCAGAAAGTGCCAGAAAGATGCAGGGGCTTGAGAATAATTCCCCTTTCCACGGCTCCTGTGGAAGAAGCCAGAAAGGCCGTGCCGGGGCCTGCCCGCGCCGGAGGAGCTGCGGGGGGAAGGCGTGCTCCTGCAGGCACGGGGCACAGACACTTCCCCTGCAGCCTCCACATTTCATCTGACTCAGCGCATCCGTGATCAAAAGCTCCTCCTGACAGCCCTTCTGCAGAGGCCCAAACTCGCCATCTAAAACGTTACCGCCAGGGCCGGTAAGCACCGCTCCCTCACTCTCTGTGGCCCCGGGCAGCGCCAGGGGACAACACAGATCAGCTCCCTGCCTGGGCTGGCTGTCTCCTCACGTGACACGGGATCTGGCACAAAGATCCAGTGTGTGGTATGTGGCTTTTACACAATTGCCAGCGGCCGCTCACAGAACCCCTAGAGGAAGCAGCCACTCCCGCCCCGGGGTTAAGGAGGGGAAACTGAGGCAGCAAGGCTGGTGACAGCCACTGGCCGTGGAGCAGGGTCTGCGCTCAGGCACCAGATGGCAGGGCTTCACTTGCCTGGCACTCCGCTGCCTTGGACAGGTCCTGGCCTATGACCGCCTGGTGCAGGGCTCTGGCCTGTGACCGCCCAGTGCTGGCCCTGGCAAGGCTCCCAGCAGGCGGGTCTCAGCTGCCCAGTCATTCTGGGCAGGTGCCTGGGCCTTGAAAAGGGCCTTAGACCCCAAACTCCCAGGCCTGGGAGGCCTTGGATAAGAGGAGCACCCAAGCCCAGAGGCCACAGAACACCCCACAGTGCCCCAAACTGCTTTCAGGATCTTCATGGGCCACAGTATTTCAAAATGTACCAAATATCATCATCGTATAAGGGCGCCCAACATGCATTTTAGTTTCCCAGGATTCTGCCCCTGCCCTGCACAGCACCATACGAGGGAATATCTGTCTCAGACCCTGCGCCGTCTGCCACTGGCCAGCCGCTGAAATCTCGCTGTGGGGTTGGGCCTGGCCAGGCCTGTCGTCTTGTTCTCTGACAGGCACCCGCTAACAGACAGCCTGGAGGGTGGCAGCTCTGACTGGCCCTGGCAGGCACTGGGGTGGCCCCTTCTCTGCATGGTCCAGTGCCCCATGCCGGGGGTGGGGTGAGGGCCATGGCCAGCCCCTCCAGACACAGCCACAGCCAGCTTTGTCCCTGCCAGCCTCTGCACCTGACCCCTGAGCACTGGTGGGGAGCCAGTGCCGGCACAAAGGCCCAGTTGGCTGGCACACCCTCCTCTGCAGGCCTGGGGCTGAGAGAGGAAGAGACTTGCTGGAGGTTTCAGGTGTTGCCCCACTCCATCCCCCACAGCTGTGAGGTTCTTTGGATCCCTAGGCTTCACCTGGAGAGTTCCAGGGTGGCCTCGGGTCTCCAACATACGCTCCACAGCCAGACCCAGCCGGGTCTCCTTCCTGAGCAGAAGCAGGCACCCCTCCCCCAACACAGTGAGCGGGGGTGGGAGGGTGTTGTGGGGGCCCCTCTCTCCGAGCTGCCTGCATACTCCCTGCCCCCACACAATCAGCGGGGGCTGGGGAGGGTGTTGTGGGGGCCCCTCTCTCTGGGCTGCCTGCAGGCTGCAGCTTCTACCCCAGCCCAGCCCCTACTGTCTGTTCCCAGCAATCAGGAGCTGCTCCCAGGGCGGTGGTGCTGTTGATCATACCACAGGATCCCCTGGCACTCCCGGGGCCCAAAGAACCCAGCCCCCAGCCTTTTCAACAATCCAGGTGAAGACAGAACAAGGCACTCTGAGGGAGGAAGACTTTGTGTGGATGCAGCATGACTGTGAGAATCACACGCCTGCGGGGGGCATGTGTGTGCACACACATGTGCACTTTTGTGTGTGTGTGCATGTACACAGTTGTGCCCCTGCACTTCGCGTGACTGGGAATGTGCACCTGTGTGCACAATTGTGCATGCCCGTGTATGCATGTGCCTTGCACTTTTAAATGGAGCAGCAGCAGGTGAAGTGGGGCTCTCCTGGACTGGCCCCCAGTGTCTGGCGCCTGCACTCTGGAGCAGGGCAGTTCACTCCTTCTAGGTTTTCCTACAGAGGACTTCCCCTGCTCTGCTTTCATTTACAGGAAAACAGGAGTGCCCTGAAAAACAAGTTTTGCTGAAATTCAAAACTATCTTCCAAAGTCCTTGCATCTGAATCCTGAAGACTCCCCAGTGGGTGAGCCCAGAAACAAGACCACCTTCTACGCGGGAGGGTCTCTCGTTACCTAGGCGCCGTGTGCCCTGGGGTGAGCCACACCCACGGAACCCAGGTCACTGAAGCCCAATCCCTGCAGGGCTTCAGAGGGAGTGGGAAGTGAGGCGCAGGGACCCTGCCTTGTACCCACATCACTGGGCTCTGTGCTGACCACCAGACAGGAGGAGGTCCTAGTGGTGAGCAGGGGCAGGACATGCATCTTCTGGGGGCTGCAGGGAGGCAGGGGTAGAGCTTGATGCCATGGTGGAGTGTAGGAGAGGCTCAGAGACAAGGAGACTCATGAGACCAGGCTCCTGGCGTGGCCATGGGCATCAGCAACTGCCCCGGTGACACAGTCCTCTTCCTCAGCTCCACTCTGACTCTGAAGCACTGACTACAAGCACCTCTTGGGGGTCACGGCTGTTTCGCACACACAAATCCACCAGAGGAGAGATTGCAGGTAAGACTGCGGCACCTCACACAGCTGGGTGGCAACCAAGCGGCCAAGTGACCACTGAGCCCAGGTTCCTGATTACAGGGAAAGGCACAAACACCATTCAAGAACCTCAGCATCACAGCGACCAATCCTGACACAAAAAAGCAAAAGACTTTTCTAGGGATCAAGTGTAGCACAGAGACATGGAAAGATGCATCATTCTTGGCCAGAAAAAAATGTGCAAATCAGCAAACTGGGCCTCAGGCCTTCAACTCTCAAGGGTGCTTTTTAAGTTTTGAGAACAACTGAAACCCTCGCCAGAGTCAGCATTTCAGACACATTAGCTCTTCTCCAATAACCCCTAAAGGGGGCGACTGTTTTCCCATTTCAGGGGGACTTGGTCCTGCAAGGACTGGAACCCGGGCTGCGGGTGGCCTGGAGCCTGAGTTCTCTCCGGGCTGGGGGAGGGGTGTGTGGGCAGCATGCAGACCCCTCTCTGGGCCTGCTTCCGCTTCAGCCTCCTGGCCACCCGCCTTCCACATTCCATTAGACACCTCCAAGGGGCCTTCCTGCCCCAGAGTGCTTGAGGCTGGGGCAGGCCCGGGACAGAAGAGGAACGCACAGCCCATTTGGCCAACCGTAACTTTCCCTGCTGAGGCCTGCACTGACTTTACACCCCACTCTTAGATCTCAAGATTGCATCTCACCAAAGCTCGCGTTAACAGTTTTTGTTTTTTCTATTCAAAGGCAAAAAAACCATCACCTTTTACATCTCCTCCTTGATAACGTTTCATAAGCTCGGGCTTGGGCCCCAGCGTCTTTCCTTTCCTTTGTCCCTGTGCGATTTAAAACATCCCGCCCAGGGAGCCCTGGTCTGGGCCCTGTGGGCGCTGGCGGCCCGGCTCAGAGGGCAGCTCTGCGGCCTGATTAATGGCCCCGAGTGACCCTGGGCCGCTGTGGGGATGGAGCCGCGTGAGCTCACAGCCGCTCTCCGCCCGTGTTTCACCCCCTAGAGTTCACACAGTAAATGAGGAATTGTCTACGACTCAACAAGCAGGTGTTTTCAATACATCTACTTATAAGCTAGCTACTTTTTTGAAAGGTCTATGCTACTATTTAACCTGGTGACTAAGTCGATTGGAAACAATGAAACAAATTATTACAGGAATCCAGACGACATCCCTCCCTCCCCCTTTCCTGCTTCCTCACCCGCTGTAGCAAGCAGGTGTGGAGTCGAGTCGGAGGCAGGCGCTGGCTGCGTGGACCCCCGGGTGGGATTCCACCCGCGACAAGGCACCCAGGCCCTTTGGGCGGGGCTCCCCTGGGGTCCGCGTCCCCGCCGCCTCCCCCGGGCCTCTGCTGGGCTGGCTGGAGGCAGGAGGCCCCGGTTAGCAGGTGGTGGGGAACTGGGTCCCGGGGTTGGAGGCAGGAAGGTCCCCACGGGCCCCGCGCACCGTTTGCCGCGCACGGGAAGCGGCGAGGCCGGCGGGGCAGCGGCTTCTGGGCATTGTTCTCGGACCGCGCGGCGCTCGGTTGGCATCAAAGGGGACCGCGCAACCCGACACCACGGCGGGCGCGGGGACAGAGGCCTGAGGGCGGCGGGGACAGAGGCGCACAAGGCCCGGCCCGCGGCGAGGAGCCTCAACAGGTTGGAAACGCGGAGACGACGCCCCGCGCTCCGCCGCCTTCCGCCCGCGGTCAGTCCCGGGACCCGGCGCTGCGGGGACGAGGCCGTGACGGCGACAGAGGCCGCGTCTCCCGAGACCCCGCGGCCCCGCCCCGAGCCCTCCCGGCACCGACGACCCCGCCGGCCGCGGAGGTTCGGTCCCCGCGCGGGGACTCCGGCCGCTCGCACCGCGCACCCCTCCCGGCCCGGACCCCGCGGGGAGAATGAATGGGCGGGACTCCGGCCACCCCGCCCCGCTCCGTCCGGCTCCGGCGCCTCCTGCGCGCGTGGGCAGGGCCGGGGCTGAACCCAGAGCGGCCGGGGCGGGGGTGAGGGAGCCGGGCGGGGACCCCAGCCAGGGCGGCGAGGCCGGCGGGCACCGGCGCGAACCTTCCCGTCCCGCCCGGGTCTTACCTGGCTCCGCGGAGGCCGCGCGGACCCCGAGCAGCAGGACCAGGGGCGCGAGCACGTCCAGGAGGCGCCGCCGCCGCGGCCATGGCCAGGGGCACCTGCGCGGGACAGGCACGGGTCAGACCCCGCAGGACCCCCGCGACCCCCGCAGGACCCGGCCGAGCCCCGCGACCCCCGCGACCCCCGCAGCCGCATCTTGGCGTCCCCCAACCCCTGCCCGCAGCCCCGGCCTCACCTCGGCGCCATGCTCTCCCCAGGACCGTCAGCGCCGCGGGATGCTGCCTCCTCCGCCGCGGTGCACCCGCTCGGACCGCCGCGCTGCAGCCGCCGCCGCTGGGAGGCCGGGCAGGGGGCGGGCAGGGGCCGGGCAGGGGCCGGGCAGGGGGCGGGGCGGGCGCGGGCAGGGGGCGGGCGCGGGGCGGGGCCGGGCAGGGGCCGGGCAGGGGGCGGAGCGACGAGCAGGGCAAGGCCCGGGGAGGGGAGAGGGGGGCGGGCGCCGCAGCGGACCTGCGGCTGCGAGGACGGGGCGGGCCGGGACCCGGGGGCGGCGGGGACGGGCGAGGACGGACGGGGACACGTCCCGCCCCGAGGGAACCGCCCGAGGCTGCGACCCAGCACAGGGCCCGGGGGCTGCCCCGCGAGGAAGCCCAGGTTTATGCGGAAGGTGAACACCGCTGCCCGCCGGGCTACGACCCCAGCCCCTGAGTCCGGTGGGGCAGCGGGAAGGGGGGAGATTTGAATAGAGTCACCGCGGGGGGGACGGGACGGAGGAGGAAGCCGGCACCTCCGGCCCGCAAGGCCCCTGCAGGGTCCTGCCCCGGCTGCACGGAGGGACGGACGCGAGACAGGAGGGGCGTGCGAGGGCCAGATCTGTCCCCAGGTCCCCCTGTTCCCAGGGCGCGGCCCAGCAGAGCCTCTTCCTCCCCAGTTCCCAGGCTCCTCCTCCCTCCCAGGTGAAAACCCTGTTTCTATTTCTTCAGGGCCAGCATCCTGAGCCCCACCTGCAGGCCCTGGGCGCTTTCCTCCTGGCAGCTGTGCCCCCACCCGACCGGACCGCTCCCTGCAACCAGAGAGCCCTCACACCAGCAACACCCCCCAGCCTGCTCCCTCCTCGTGTGCGCGAAACTCATGGCACTGGCTTGACGGCTTTCTCTGAAACCCTCTGATTCCGCCTGGCCCATCCACACTGTCCCTTCCCGGCCAGGGCTCATCTCCTATGCCTGGACCAAACAGCGTAGTCTCCAGTCTCCCTGATCTCCCCACACGTGGCCCCACCCATCCTCTGAAGCAGCCCCAGGAGGCAGCAGTGACTTCACACTTCTAGTGCCCGGCCCTCCCGGCCCTCCTCTCTGGGCTTGCTTGCCAGGGTCCTCCCAACCTGACTGCTGCCTCCCACCTCCTCTCCGCCCCTGGAGCTCTCCAGCCGCAGCCGCGGGGCCTGCTTGGGATTCTCCTCTGCTGGCATCATCCCTGCCTGCCTCAGCCTTCCCAGGCCCAATCCTGCCCGATCTCACCTCTTCCCGCCCAGCCACCTGGTCGGGTCCCGACCAGCATCTGCCTTCAAACCTGGAGTCCTTCCCTGAGTGCTTGCGGTGCACTGTGAGGAAGGAAATCAATGTAAAGGATTATGACCCACATTTTTTAAAAATAAAAAGATTAAGGAGAACAGCATAGAGTAGAAGTGGTCATCGCACACTTCTGCAAAACTTTTGTTTCTCAGGTGGATGGAGGAGTGAGTCTGTGTGTGTCTATCAGGGTTTGGTGGTGTCTCTGCAGTGCAGTGGGTGTGTCTGTGTGTCTGCTGTGTGTGTGTCTGTGACCGTACCTTGTGTGCATGTGTGTGCATGTCTCTCTGTGCTGTGTGTGTGCATGTGTGTGTTTCTGTAACTATGTACAGTGTGTGCATGTGTGTCAGCCTGTGTGCGTGTGAGTGTGTGTCAGGGGTGTTCATGTGTCCTGGGTCCTGGTGGCTTCTCCTCCCGAGGCTCCTGGTCTGTCTGGCCCCTGTCCATTAACCCTGCAGTGCAGGTCTCTTTCACCTCTTCCATCTCACCTGCCCTGGGGCACCACTTCCACCCAACCCAACCCATTCCTAAGTCTTCCGTCAGGGCAGGTGCCTGCTGCCAGGGGAAGCAGGTCTCTGCAGGTGTGGCCTGATGCACTGCCCTGGGGGCCTGTCTGCGGCTCCCAGGAGGGAGGGGCTGGGGCAGGGCGGGTGCCAGCCCACCTGTGGCCTGAGTTGGCCTACCTCTCTCCTGCCCCACTCTCCACCTTTGGGGACTATGGGGGTGTGATCAGTAGGAGACACAGCTACTATGAAACACATGTGACTGCTTACCTGGTAGCTGTACGAACTCTTTTTGCTCATTCGTTTCACTTGGGGCCTTACCTTGGCCTCATGGCTGTGTCCCCATAGGCTCTGTAGCATCCCCTCTTTCTATTAGAGTTGTATTGTTTCCTTTGTAGACACGAGTAATATGTGATAACCACAGAAAAATCAACAGAAAATGCAGAAACACACGTAGAAAATAAGACCAAAAGTCTCTCCATTCGCCTTACCTCCTCCCGGGCCCTTCTGCACAGACGCCTGCAGGTGCTCTGAGGGCAGCGCCCAGCGTCCACATGGAGCTCTGCTCGGCCCTGTTTGTCCCTCCACCAGGGTCCTGGAGGCTCTGTGCCCTCTGGTAGGGGCAGGCTCAAACCAGTGCCCCCAAAGAGACGGACGTGCCAGGTCCCTGGGGGGCCTTGGAGCACAGGTGTGGGGAGCAGGGGAGTGGCCATGGCTCATTGCAGGGACCAGGGGAGGGCTCATGGGCTGTGGAGGAATGGGCTGTGGGGTGCGCAGGGAGGAGAGAGCATCCAGGACCGAGGGCAGCTCCGGCAGAGGTCCTGGGGTGGAGCAGGTGGAGCAGGCTTAGGACCGTGTCTGGGTTCTAAGAAGCGGTAGCAGATTCCTCAAGTCTGGGGCCTGCACCACAGGTGTCTGTCTTGCTTCCTGGGCAGGTGGGGCCTGGGATGGGGTTGATGGGTTTGCAGGGAGAGGTGGTACAGACAGGGAAGGGGCTGCACTCAGGCTCAGAGGAGCTGCCCGGGCCGTGGTTACAACCCGCAGTGCGCAGGAGCCTAGGAATTGTTCAGCTTTTGTGAGAGGCTGCACTCCTCTTGACATAGAGCAGACCTGGCCTCAGCCCTGCCTCCACCTGCACCTGCCAGGGCCCTTTGTGCTCCCTTCTCTGCCGCATCATCCACCCAATCACAGGGTGAGTTGTCTGAAGACACATAGCTCACACAGGACACAACCTCACTGTAAAAACTCCACATGTGACCAGTAAAGCTGGAGTCCCAACCCTGCCTCCTGCCAAACCGAACCCTTATCATCTTCTGTGGGTTTTCCTTCCAGGCTGTTTTACAAAATGCATTTTGTAGATATTTGTTACTCTAGAAATATTATGTTGCTTTGTGGAATTTTAAAAACAAAGCATACATGAGATAATATCCATGGTTTTGAAACTTGCTTTTAAAGCTCAATTTCTGTTCTAGCTCTTTCTATGCCAGGATGAACACATTTACATAAATGATTGAATGAAACTAGCTAAGTCTCCCTAAAATTAATGAGACTTAGCTTATTTGTCAATTCTTCCACCATTCATGAGACTTAGCTTATTTCCATTTCTTTGCTTAAAATAATATGCTGTCTTGAAAAGAGATAGAAACTGTGAGAAAGAACAAAATGAAAATGCTAAAAATGAAAACACAGTAAAAGAGATGAAAAATGGCTTTGAGAAGCTTGTCAGTAAACTTGACTTAGCCAAAGAAATCCATGAATTTGAAAATAGCTCTATAGAAATCATCCAAATGGAAAACCAAAGAGATAAGAGGAAAAACATAGAGCGTGTTTCCGAGGGATTACAATACGATCTCAAGTAGTGTAACATAATACAATTGGAATCACAGATGGTGAGGGGGTGGACAAGGAATATTTGAAGAAATAATGGTCAATAATTTTCCAAAATCAATGACAGACATCAAAGCACAGATTAAAGAAACTCAGACAACATCCATCAGGTAAAACAGCAAAAAAGTAAAACAAACAAAATAGAACAGAAACAAAAAAAAAGCACAGAAACCTGTGCATATTCAAGCAGCTGGGGAAAAAGACATGCAGAAACTCTCTAAAGGAACTGGGAGGAGAAGGGAGGGAGAGGGACACATGAGACGCGAGAAGAACCAAGATAAGAAGCACAGCAGAACTATCTGCAGACACTATGCAAGGTGGATGATGATGGAGGGATGGCTTTCAAGTACTGAAAGGAAAAAAAAGTGCTGATTCAGATTTTTTTTTTTTTTTTTAGACGGAGTCTCGCTCTGTCGGCCGGGCTGGAGTGCAGTGGCGCAATCTCAGCTCACTGCAAGCTCTGCCTCCCGGGTTCATGCCATTCTCATGCCTCAGCCTCCTGAGTAGCTGGGACTACAAGCACCTGCCACCATGCCCAGCTAATTTTTTGTATTTTTAGTAGGGATGGGGTTTCACCATGTTAGCCATGGCAGCCTCAATCTCCTGACTTCATAATCTGCCCACCTCGGCCTCCCAAAGTGCTGGGATTACAGGCGTGAGCTGCCACTCGTGGCCTGATTCAGAATTCTTTACTAGTGAAAATAACTTTTAAAAATTAAGGGGGGAAGGGGGAGGCCAAGAAGCAGGTGTTGGCTATCCGAGCAGGGGCCTAGGATATCCTGTTTCTTCTGCAGTTTGCTGACCTAAGCCAATTCAAGGCACTTTGTCTTGGAATTGGACCACTGTATACATTATTTCCTTCAGACATGAAGAGTAATAGAGTATAGAAATGGAAGAAATAATTAAAAATTGTAATTGCTGCAAATGCCAACTATCTAAAGGGAAAATGGTAGTGTTGTATTGTGTTGATAACATGCTCCAAGGTAAACCATGTGATGATAATTCACAGAGCATGGAAGAAATTGTTGGGAAAATACTGCTGTGGGGTCCTTACACTATACGTGAAGCAGTCTCATACTATCCGAAGGTAAACTTTGATTAATTTAAGACTTAACCCTAGGACAGTGAGTACAATTTTCTAACAGAGGTATAAGTTATAGGACAAGAGGACATAAAATGGAATGATAAAGTAATGCTCAGTTAACCAAGAGAAGGCAGAAAAGCGAGCAAAAGAAGCAAAAAACATGTAACAAATAGAAAACACGTGACAAAATGGTAGCTTAAAATCCAATTGTATCAATAATCTATTAAATGTGGATGGTCTAGCCATACCAGTTAAAAGATAGATTGTCAGGTTGGATTTTATTTATTTTATTTTTATTTTTTTATTTTTTTGAGACAGAGTCGCGCTGTCTCCCAGGCTGGAGTGCAGTGGCGCCATCTCGGCTCACGGCAAGCTCTGCCTCCCGGGTTCACACCATTCTCCTGCCTCACCCTCCTGAGTAGCTGGGACTACAGGCGCTCACCACCATGCCTGGCTGATATTTTTGTATTTCTAGTAGAGACAGGATTTCACTGTGTTAGCCAGGATGGTTTTGATCTCCTGACCTCGTGATCTGCCCGCCTCCGCCTCCCAAAGTGCTGGGATTACAGGCGTGAGCCACCACGCCTGACCTGTCATATTGGATTTTAAAAAGCAGGATTCAACTATATCGTGGCTACAAGAAATGCACTTTGAATCTAAAGGCATATATAGAGTTAAACATAATACACCATTCAAGCACTAGTCAAAAGAAAGGTGGAGTCGCTGCTTCATCTCTGACAAATAGATTTCAACATCTACGTGGATGTAGATGTAGATCTAGAAGGAGCATCCACATGGATGATGAGGGACTTTGCATCATAATGAGGGTCAGGGCTCCAAGAAGACATCACAGTCATAAATGAGCATGTACCAAACAACAGGGCTTCAAACCCCATGAAGAAAAACCCATCGAACTGGAAAGAGAAATAGACAGATCCCCAGTTATGCTTTAAGACTTCATCTCTCTTCTCTCGGTAATTGTCAGACACATGGACAGAAAAATCAGTAATGATGCAGAGGGCATGAGCAACACTATCCAGCACCTAGAGCTGATTGATGTTCATAGAACACACCACCCAGCAACAGCTTAGAACATTCTTCTCAAATGTGCATGGACGTCACCAAGATAGACCATATCCTGGGCCATAAGATATATCTTAACAAATTTTTAAAAACACAAATCCTACAAAGTATGCTTTTAGGTCATAACAGAGTTAAGCAAGAAGTAAAAAATAGTTATCTGGAAAGTCCCAACATATTTTGAAATTTTAAACAACACATTTCTCAATAAATTGTATGACTCTTGGGAGACAATTAAAACTTTGTTTAGTTAATTGAAAATAACAGCATATCCAAATTTCTGGGGAAAAGCTAATGCAGCGCTTAATGGGAAATTTATAGCACTAAATGCGGAAAAGAAGGAGCACAAAGACACGACCTGAGCCTCCAACTGAAGAAGCCAGGAAAAAAGCAAATTAAGCACAAAGTAAACAGAAGAAAGGAAATAATAAATATCAGAACTGAAATTAATGAAAAATAGGAAGCAGACCAAAACAGTAGAGAAAAATTACTGAAGCCAAAAGCTGCTGTTTTTTTGTTTTGTTTTGTCTTCTGGAAATTCTGTCTGGACTGATTTTTTTTTTTTTGATGGAGTCTCACTCTGTTGCCCAGGCTGGAGTGCAATGGTGTGATCTCGGCTCACTGCAGCCTCCATCTCCTGGGTTCAAGTGATTCTCCTGCCTCAGCCTCCTGAGTAGCTGGGATTACAGGCATAAGCCACCACGCCCGGCTAATTTTTGTATTTTTAGTAGAGATGGGGTTTCACCATGTTGGACAGGCTGGCCTGGAACTGCTGACCTCAAGTGATGCACCCACCTTGGCCTCCCAAAGTGCTGAGATTACAGGTGTGAACCACCGCGCCTGGCCCAGACTGATTTTTTTTTAAAGGGTACTGACGTAAATTTCCAATATCAAGAATGAAAAAATAGAAGAAAGAAAGATCCTACAGATATTAAAAAGATGGGCCAGGCTCAGAGTCTCACGCCAGCAATACCAGAACTTTGGGAGGCCAAGGCGGGACGATTGTCTGAGCCCAGGAGTTCAAGGTTACAGAGAGCTATGATCACGCCACTGCACTCCAGCCAGGGTGACAGAGTGAGACCCTGTCTCTTAAAAAATAAAAAGGGTAATAAATGCTACTTATGAAAATAGAGAATTTATAAAATACCATTTGTGAACAATTTTAATTTTAAAAACTGAATAGCTCCATGTCTGTTGAATAAATTAAACTCAATTAAAAGCCATTTAGGAGGAAAACCCCTAGCCCAGATGTCTTCACTGGTAAATATTATAAAATATTTATTGAAGGAATAATTGCAAATTACAGAAGCTCTTTTAGAACACAGAGGAGAAAGGGAAACTTCCCAATTCATTTCGTGAGGCCTCTATTACTCTGATACCAGACAGAGACACTGCAAGAAAAGAAAACTGCAGATCAATATCCTGCAAAAATCCTTGACAAAATGTTAGCAAAGAAAACCCAGTACTGCAGAGAAAGGATCGTCACAATCCTGACCAGCAGGTACCATCTCAGGGATGCAAGGTTGGTTTAACATTCAAAAGTCAGTCAATATAATTCACTCTATTAGTAGAATAACTGAAAAAAGTCATGGGATCATCTCCCTACAAAAAATACACATCTACAGAAAAATAATATAGCAAAATTAAACGCCCATTCTTTAAAAAGTTCAGGAAGTTAGGAATAGAAGGGTATTTTCTCAGCCTGGTAAAGAGCATAATTTTATACTTAATATTGTAAAACGAAATCTTTCTCCCAAGGTAAGGAACAAAAGAAGGATGCTGCTTTCACCATTTCTATACAGTATTGCATGGGAGATCTTAGTTTAATTAGGCAAGAACAAGAAATAAAGGGGTACAGATTGGAAAAGAAGAAATAAAAAAGGACTAATCACACATGACATGATTGTCTGTAGGAAATCCTAAGGAGACTATACACAAACTTTTAGAATTAATAAGTGAGTTTAGCAAGGTTGCAGGACATAAGGGCAACACAGAACAACTGGCTGTGTTTCTATATACTAGCGATGAAAAATTAGAAATGAAACAAAAAGCAATACTTACCACAGCAGGGAATATGAAGACTCGGAAGATTCTTGATCAGAAGTTTCAATGTTGTGAAGATGTCAATTGTCCCTAAATTATGTATAAATACAACACAATTACAATCTACATGCTAGCAGCTTTTTGGTAACTATTAGCAAGCTGATTACAAACTCTGTATAAAAACACAAAGGAACAAGAATAGCCAAAACAAGGTTGAAAAAGGAAGAACGAGTTGGAGAATGCTACTCCCTGTCTTCAATATTTTATTATAAAGCTGCAGTCATCAAAATAGTGCAGTTTGCAAAAGGAAACAAATATAAACCAATACAACAGAATAGAATCCAGAAATAGATTCGTGTGTATATGATCAATTGATTTTCAGCAAAGGTGCCTCCTCTTCTCTGGCCCCTCTCCCCCTCTCCCATCAAGTGGCAGCTGGAATATGGGAGAGCAAGATCCATATGGATGGGTGAAACAACCCTGGCCTACGGTTCCATCTCTAGTTCAGCTCCAGAGGGGTCGGTGCAGCACGCATCAAGGAACATGCCCAGGAGCAGGTCACTGCACCCGGGCAACCGAAATCAAGGGTGCCCCCAGCAGATATTTCTAGTGCCTGCAAAGACCTGCAAATTTAGGTGCAATGCGCCCATCAGGGGTCACGTCCTGGGTAACATTCTGCCTTGATTAGATTTTCAGGGAAACATAGCTAGAAAGTTAAACCAGTATTAACTTGTCCATATTGATGAGAGAAGGTTACGTTAATCTTTTACTCATCTCCCAGAATCCGCTAAAAAGAACACAACGGATAACACCAGCTCTTGGAGGGGATAAGAACCGGGCGAAGCGTCCCCATGCTGCTGGTGGGAGCATAAATTGTACAGTCTCTTTGGAGAAGTGGCCTCTCTGATAAAGTGGAGCATGCATGCATCTGACAAGAAGTCCTCTCTTGGGAATGCGCCCCACCACACATGTTCTAAAAACACCTGTCCAGGAACCTTCACAGCAGCACCGTTCATCACAGTCTGAACCAGAAATAGCCCAGTGTCCCTCAGCAGTCAAATGGAGACGGTGGTTGTTTAACACAACGTGGTGACCTTCGGCAATGAGGAGGAAGGTGTGACAGCAGGGCTGAGCCTCACAAATGTCACGGTTGCGTGGGAGGAGACAGATGCCTAAGTGCACACAGTCGATGATCCCATGCACACAAAACCCTTACTGTTTAGTGGTCAGAAACATTCAAAGTGGGCTGGGGGGCAGTGGCTCACGCCTGTAATCCCAGCACTTTGGGAGGCCGAGATGGGCGGATTACTCGAGTCCAGGAGTTCGAGACCAGCCTGGCCAACGTGGTGAAACCCCATCTCTACTTAAAATACAAACATAAGCCAGGTGTAGTGGCACGTGCCTGTAATCCCAGCTACTCGGGAGGCTGAGGCGGGAGAATCGCTTGAACCTGGGAGGCAGAGGTTGCAGTGAGCCGAGATTGGGCCACTGTACTCCAACCTGGGCAACAGAGCAAGACCCTGTATCAAAACACACACACACACACACAACCCACCATTCAAAGTTATTCTTACAGATCATAGAAAAACTGATAAAATTTCATAAGAATAAACATTTGATACTTCTTGAGATCCTAGATGATGTGATCAGATAAGGAATGAATTTTCTGATTCGTCATACATCACACAGAGACTAGTCTCCCCTAGAAATACAGAGGCTCAGAATCCCATCACATTCAGAAATATAAAGATGGGTCAATATTAGGACATCAGCGACCACAAGTCACTGCTTTATCAGAACAGAAAGCCATGGGATGCATCAATAAATTCCAAGATGTTCAATAAAATTCAACACTTGATGATAAAAACTCTTTTGCTATGGGGCAAAGCATGCTTTCTTTTCTTCCTTTTCTTTTCTTTTTTGAGATAGGGTCTCACTGTCACCCAGGCTGGAGTGCGATGCTGTAATCATGGCTCACTGCAACCTTGAATTCCTGGGCCCAAGCAATCCTCTTGCCTCAGCCTCCTGAGTAGCTGGGACTACAGGCACGTGCCACCATGCCCAGCTAATTTTTGTATTTTTTGTAGAGATAGGGTTTCTCCATGCTGCCCAGGCTGGTCTTGAACTCCTGGGCTCGAGTGACCTGCCCACCTCAGCCTCCCAAAATGCTGGGATTATAGGTGTGAGCCACCGTGCCTGGCCAGCATGCATTCTTAACTTCATAAAAGTCATCTCCCAAATATTGAAAATAGATTGTGAAATATTTTGCATTCCTTTTAAAATCACCAAAAAGAAAATGATAAAATTTGATAAGAATAAACACTTGATACTTCTCGAGATCCTAGATGATGTGATCAGATAAGGAATGAGATGGAGAATAAGCATGTTGAGTTATTTGCAGATGACAGCGTTGTCCCTCTAGAAATTCCAAGAGAAATCAGTCAGAACTCTGCAAAGGTATCAGAATAAATAAAAGTTGGGGATGATGGGCATGGGCAAGGTGAACATCAAAACAAACCAATAGTTTTCTTATACATCAACAATAACTAATATAGTATGATAGAAAAAATGTCTTCACGATAGTCACGAAACATGAAATGCCCGCAGTGAGCCTTGAAAGGTGCGCAAACAACTTCATCAAAAGGATAAACTTCTACCAAGGGATTGGAAAGAGTCTCCATAAACGTGAGCGCCCCTTCGTTCCCTCAGTGAAGCCCAAGGGTGAAGAGCAGAGCTTTCGATGTTAGAAAGAGGATGGGACACCCAGTGGTCCCCAGGCCGGTCAGCTCAGGGCTCCATCTCGTCATCACCCTGCCTGTCCCCTGCTCTGCTCTCCGCCTGCTCCCTGGATCACAGTCCCCACGAAGCTCTTGCACTTAACCCTTTCCTCAGGCTCGAGTCTCCAGGGAACCCACCCAGGACATCCTCTAAATTCATAGATAGGGAGTTCACACCGAGGGGTGGTGAAGCGGGAGAGGCACACTCAGCTTCTGCAGCCGTCCTGCCTGGCCCATGTCCACTTGCCAGGGAGGACCTTGGCAGATGCTCGCCCCTCTGACCTCATGAGCTGGTTCTCATCTGAAAAATGGCAGTAATAACAGTGTTTGCCTCCTGAACCAGCTGGGGGGATCCAACCTGACAATCCACTGAACCTCAGAAATCGGACAGGAGCCGAGGTAGAGAGAGTGTAGGCCGGGGTCTGATCCCATTTCAGAGACCGGGTTCACAGAGAGGAGGCCATTTTCCCCAAGCCTGCATGGCCACAAGGGAAGAGCTGGGTTCGGAGGTAGACGGCCTAAGAGTGCCTGCTCAGCCCCCGACCCCACAGCCGACTGCGACCCAGGCTCAGCCCCCGGCCCCACAGCCGGCTGCCACCCAGGCTCAGCCCCCGGCCCCACAGCCGGCTGCCACCCAGGCTCAGCCCCCGGCCCCACAGCCGGCTGACACCCAGGCTCAGCCCCCGGCCCCACAGCCGGCTGCCACCCAGGCTCAGCCCCCGGCCCCACAGCCGGCTGACACCCAGGCTCAGCCCCCGGCCCCACAGCCGGCTGACACCCAGGCTCAGCCCCCGGCCCCACAGCCTGCTGTGTCCCTGCGGCTGCCATGCCAGCCCCACTCTGTCCTCTAGTGTGGAGGCTGCCCTTGTCCTCTCCCCAACACCTCTCTGTGCACCTTTGGTTGTGGGATTTGATCCTTAGGTTGCATGTTCTAGAAAGGCGTGTGGCGGTGGTTTTCTTGCAGTTTTTTCTTGTTTGGCATTTTGTGCAGGCTGCCTGGGGTCTGCGTGACTCCAGGTGTGATGTGGGGCATGTTTGATTGCAGGGTGTGGGTATAACTCAGCTCTGCTGTGTGCCCTCCTCAGTGGGGCATGCATGTCAACAAGAGAGGCTTCGGGAGAGTTCCAGGAACACCACCCCAGAGGGTCTCTACCGCAGGACCAGTCCTGTCACGCCCCCCTTGTCCCCTGCACCACTTCTCAGATGACACCGGCAAAGCGTGACAAAGCGTGACAGACAGCGCTGCTCTCCCCGACTGTCTTTCTCCTCCGGTGAGAGCCCACTCTGGTGGCCCCGGCGCAGGAGGCGTGCACACCATGCACACCGTGCTGGCCGTGTTGAGGTCTGGCTGTCAGAGGCCGTGAACCCCGGGAAGGATGACGCGCTCAAGGCATGAGGAGCGGGCGGGGACCCACCGTGCCCCTGCGGGCCTGCTGCAGGCGGGCGGCCTCGTGCCGGGAGCAATGCCCTGGCAAGCATGCGAGTAAGGACTCAGCCATGGGGCCCAGGCACTGCACCTTTTTGCAACTTACTCTTGGCTCTGTGAGCCATATCCAGGGGATTTCATGGGCTTCTCTCCCCACACTGTGACTGGAAACCAACACAGCTCCTTTTCCTGTTCCTCTAGGCAAGACAAAGCCCAGCTCACTGTGAGCGTGAGGGTGACCCAGCGGCCAGGCGGCCTCCTTCCCACGGCAGTGGCTCCTCACCCATGGGCCCCATGACACCCCCTCTGCCCACAGGCCCAGCAGCCCCCACCTGGACGCAGGGGCTCTGCCTCCTCGGAGGCGGCTCAGACCAGGCCTCCGACTTCAGGGCCTCCAACCATTAAGGACCGGGGAGTCAGCACTTCTGGGAGCCATTTGTGGAGCAGCTGTGGGGGTGCCGCAGGCTTTGTAGCCTCAGCCGTAGGGAGTGGCGCCTGTGGCTCAGGCCTTTTCCGGAGACCCCCACTGAGTTTCCGCCCGGCTCAGAGCTCGAGGCCTGACTCCAGGACTCGCCGGGTTTGTGACTTCGGGAACATTCCTCAGCCTCTCTGTGACTCTGTTTCCTCATCTGTGAAAAGGGGAACGAAAGACTCTCTCATCCTGGGGCCCTGGAAAGGTTACAATTTACAAGACCGACTGTAGCAAGAGTCGTCAAAGGTGTGGAGCAGCTAGAACTCCCGGCCCTGAGTGCGGAAACTCAGGGAACTCCCAGCACCGACTGGAAACTCAGGGAAGGCCACTCACTTCCGCAGTAGGACGACCCTTCTGAAAAACAGTTTTGCCGCTTGCTAAAAAGTTAAACACACACCTGTCTCGTGATCCAGATATTCAGGTCCTCAGTCATCCGCATCAAGACCTGAAGCCACATGTTCATAGCGGCCTTGTTTGTGAGGGCTGCAAACTGGAGGCAAAGCAAGCTCCTGTCAGGAGGCGAGTGTATCAGCCAGCCCGGAGCTCCTCTCCCACGGAGGGCACTCAGGAGTAGAACGCAGTGAACTCAGTGTGGGCCACAACACAGGCAAACAGCACAGAGCTTGTGCCAAGGAAAAGAAGCCAGACCAAAAGGTGTGAACTGCAGGATTGTGTTCACGTAAGATTCCAGCAAATGCAAACCAACCTATGTGACAGAAAATAGATCAATGGTTGCCTGGGGTCGGGACTGGGAGTGGCTGTGGAGGACAGGACAGAGGACACAAGGAACCCTGAGAAGTGGGTCTGTTCACTGCCTGTATGGTGGCAGTGGATTCGTGGGTACACACAGATGTCAACTCATGTCAAATGGACACTGATGTGCAGCTTGTTGTATGCCAATTCTCTGTCAATAAACATGATTCATGACAGTTCAAGCACTAGTTAGTTCAGTCTGCACCCTCGGGTGGGGGTTTCCCTGGCCGGGTATGCGTGGTACAGTAGTAGGTAGCCAGGTGATGTGGCTTGGCTGTGTCCCCACCCGAATCTCATCTTGGCCGGGTATGCGTGGTACAGTAGTAGGTAGCCAGGTGATGTGGTTTGTCCCCACCCGAATCTCATCTCGAATTGTGCCTCCCATAATCCCCGCATGTTGTGGGAGGGACCCGGTGGGAGGTAACTGAACCATAAAGGCATGTTTTTCCCGTGCATCCTCTGGGTCCCCGTCTCCACGCACCCTGCCCGTGCCACCAGGGACCACCTCCTTGCCTGGGAGCCTGGCCTCAGACTCAGCTTGTGGACAGTGGTGTGTTTCGGATGGTTTTTATGTTATTCTGTAAACCACGCAAACACATCACACACACACTTGTGGATGCGTGGTGTATCTTACGGTAAGCAAAGTCAATAAAAAACCTTAAGACCAGGACTACAAATGTGGATGAATTTTTACGATGAAGTTGAGCTTTCTGGGGATGTTCTCAGTGAAGAGGCTCGTCCAGACCCAACTCCCCTGCTCTGCCTTCAGGTGCCGGTGAAGGGGACACGTGGCGTTTCTGGCCCCTCAACTTGTGGGAGGAGGCCTGGGGGTGCTGGGAGGGCCGGGGTGGGAAGAGCTAGGACTGTCACGTCCAGGATGCAGGTGAAGGGGCTGGGGGGCGAGCCTGGGAAGGCAGTGGTCGTGGGGGCCTCACGCTGCAGCCCCACCCACCCAGCCCCTCTCCTCTCCGTCCTGCCCTCCCCACGGTGGTCCCCCTCTTCCCTCTGAGCTCCTGTCCTGCCCCCGCCCCCGCCATCTGCCTCCCCTTTTCCTGTCTCCTGTCTGGCTCTTCTCTCCACCTTCGCCTCCCTCAAGGGGTTTCTGTAAATGAAGGAAAAGGGAAAGATCCAGGGTGTTGCCCGGCCCCGTGAGGGGAGGCAGAGGCCAGCGTGCCCTTTGCCCAGCCCTGCAGGACACCCGGCCTTGGGACAGCCTCGCAGCCGACTCCCGCTGCCACGGGCCGGCGGTTCTGGAAGTCTTCTGAGCTTGCCACTGGCTCTCCCTGCCCACCTTAGAGCCACACGGAGCCCTCTGTGTGCTGCTGCAAGTCGGCGCAGAGATCCCCGGGCAGCAGCCTTCAGCCTTGACTCACTCAGGGCACGGTAAAAAGGCAGCCTCCCCAACCAGCTGCCAGCCCGAAGTCACCTGCTGCGGGCTGTGGAATGAGTGGAGGGGACCTGGCCAGCCCACCCGGGGGGCACAGGTGGGCAGGGTTTGGAAGGCCTCTGCAGGCAGAGCCCCTCTGTGTCCTCCCACCTTGCTGTCTGGGATGTGGGCCAGGCCCCTGGTGCTGGTGAACAGAAGCACTGGGCCCCCACTGGCGAGACCCGGGGCAGGAACCAGCGGCCGAGTTCGTTACCTGTTGTGGTTTCGGTGAGGTGAGTGCTCAGCAGGAAGAGACGCAGGCAGTTCTTGGAGAATCCTGGTGTCAGGCCTGTCCCTTACGGCGAAGCCCCTGGAGAAGGTGGGCGTCTCCCCAGCATGGCCAGGCAGGGACAGGGGTTGGGGGACGTCCAACCAAAATCCCAAAAAGGTGTTCCGTGAGAATTGATGTGATTATTCTAAAATGCATATGGAAGACTAAAAAAACAGGAATAGCTAGGACACTTCTGAAGAGGAAGGGAGATTTTTCCACCGCATGTTGGGATTGTTAAGAAATTATAGCAGTGGAAGTGATGTGAGATTTTTGCCTGGAAAAACAGACGGGCACCAGGATTGGACAGAGAACTCAGGAACAAATTTTTGTGTGGGTGGAACCAATGGCTTTGCAGGTTGGTGGAAACAGGGGAAACCTATCAATCAGTAGAGCTAGAAAAAAATAGTTGTCCATATGGAAAAAGATGAAAGTAACTCCCAGTGGATTAAGGATTTAAATGTCAAAAACAAAACCGTAAATTCTAGTTAGAAAATGTGGCCGGGCACAGTGGCTCACACCTGTAATCCCAGCACTTTGGGAGGTTGAGGTGGGTGGATCACGAGGTCGGGAGATCGAGACCATCCTGGCTAACACAGTGAAACCCCGTCTCTACAAAAAATACAAAAATTAGCTGGACGTGTTGGCAGGTCCCTGTAGTCTCAGCTACTCGTGAGGCTGAGGCAAGAGTATCACTTGAACCTGGGAGGTGGAGCTTGCAGTGGGTCAAAATCGCACCACTGCACTACAGCCTGGGTGACAGAGTGAGACTCAGTCTCAAAAAAAAAAAAAAAAAAAAAGAGAAGAAAAAAATGGTAAGTGGCTCTCTTTTAGAGGGTGTGTTTGGAAAAGATTTCAAAAACATGACACACAAAGAAGCAGAGGGCATAGTCAGAATTGATACTCTGTGAAGACTTTAAAAAGGAGATGATTTACAAAGGCAAAGGCAGGGTTTGTGGAACTCAACACAGGACGTACAGTGCCCAGGGCTACTAACTCATTTATTAGAGTCCGAGAGGGTGCTCCAGCAGGGTGAGCCTACAGTAGTGGTCCAGTGGGGGTGAGCCTACAGGAGTGGTTCAGCAGGGCGAGGCTACAGGAGTGGCCGTGCTCAGTGGAGGACTCACTTGTTTATTAGAGTCCGAGAGCGAGCTCCAGTGGGGTGAGCCTACAGGAGTGGCCGTGCTCAGTGGAGGACTCACTTGTTTATTAGAGTCCGAGAGCGAGCTCCAGTGGGGTGAGCCTACAGGAGTGGCCGTGCTCAGTGGAGGACTCACTTGTTTATTAGGATCCGAGAGCGAGCTGCAGCGGGGTAAGCCTACAGGAGTGGCTGTGCTCAGTGGAGGACTCAACCACTACAGCGATCGGCAGGGAGAAACCCAGGGGAGTCCATTCCCCCGACCTCGCCCTGCGCCCTGGCCCTGCCTTCCTGCTGGGGCCTCCCTGTGGATGAACCTGGGGACTGTGGGGAGTGCAGCTTATGGGCCTGAGGGTGGGGAGGAGTGGCTGCCCACTCCCCATGTTCCCTAGTCTGAGGGGTTTCCTTCCTGAGGGGCTCCTGGGCTTCAACACGGCCTTTGCTCCCTACAACCTGTGAGGCCAGCAGGGTGGCTTACAGGGCTGGTTTCTATGCTCCAGTGTGGACCACGGCTTCCTCCCACCCCAAGCAAGCCTGCCTGTCCTCTTCTGGCCACCCTGGGAAGGGCTGCAGTGTCCAAAATAGCTTCAGAATTCCTTAGAGCCAGAGAATGCAGGGCTTCGGACAACAAAGACCTCTGGGGACAGGGCAGATGTCCCTGAGCCTGGATTCCTGCCTCTGACGTGACCTCCGACTTGGGATTCCCAAGACAAGGGTCAGTGTGGGATGATCCTTTTAAGGGAAGTGTCCCCCTTGGGGTCAGTGAAGTCGCTCCTGTGGTGGGGAGTGCTGTGGTGTAGATCAGGCTCGCCCAGCAGTCCCTCCAGTGGAGGCTGAGAGGCCTTCCCTCTTCTCCCAGGACCAGGGACAGTGTCCAGTGGACATGGAGAGAGCAGGAGGGGCGGGAGTGGCTTCCAGCTCCTGGCAGGGACCATGGCCAGCCCCATCCCCATCTCCAGCCTGGGCCTGGGCTGCTTGCCCATCGGTTGGGTTCATGAGGGCTCAGAGCCCCTGAAGTTTTCAAACACATCCTGATTCCCAAGAGCCGTGATTTGCTGTGTGACCTCGTTCTCCCGGCACATGAGAGGCATTAAAGTTCACGTCTTTCATTTCCTTTCATGCTCAGTTTGCCTCTGGTGAGCAGGGGCTGATTTTTGCTGTAGAACCTTCCAGCACAGACAGGGAGCCCATACACATGGGCTTGGAGCCCCATGAGGCTGCCATCACATGCCAGTCAGGGTTGTTAGTGTTGAGGTGAGAACACGCTTACGAACACACACATGAACACACACTCACATACTCCCACATTCACACACTCACGCACACACAAACGAGACACCAAAGCATGGCTCGTTCTGCCCCCGCCCAGACACCGTGTCAGGAAACTCACGTCTCATTGCTGTGACGCTGTGACGTCCACCAATGACCGTGGAGGTGCCCTGAGTATTGAATCTGGGTTAGGGTAAATGCTAGTAAGTAGGCAAATTTGCCCATGAATAATGAGGCTCGACTGTGTTTTACTTGAAGAAACACGTAGGAGCTAGAAGTAAATGGAACAGCATTCAGGAAGGCAACGCTGTTTTTCCTGAACTCACACAACATCAGGGTCCCAGGGTCCCCGCACCCCGGCTGCCAGGCCTGGCAGTTCTGGGCTGAGCAGTGCGTCTCTGAAGCGTCCCTGTGATGCGGCTTCTGCTGGTCTGGGTTCTACACTGAGAGAACCTGCTCTCATCGAATGGGTGCCTCAGGTCAGGCTCTGCAGAGAGCCAGCTGGGGACCTGCCTTGTGTGTGAGAGCTGCATGGAAGCTCCTGGCACAGCCCCGTGGCAGGAAGGGAGCGATGCAGGAAGCCCAGGGCCGTCTCTGCAGGCTGCAGCTTCTTCCAGGACAGCCTCTTCCTGCAAGTTTCAAAGTCAGTTTCTGTGCACATGAAACCGGAGTCAATGAGGCTGAGTTCCAGCACAACCAAGCTGCCCCCGTGAGGCTGCCTGATACCCAGATGTGTGTGTTTAAAAGAGACATAAGGCAAGATTTGTCACGGGATGAATCATCTTCCATGCTCCTAGGGGCAGCTAATTTTAAAGTAGCCAGGACTGTTTCAAGGTCACGGTGACCCTCGTGGGCTGTGTTATTGCAAAGTCAAACCGGAGAGAGCGTGAGAGCGTGTCCGGGACAGAGTGGATCTGTGGATGCTCCTGACTTTGAGAACGTGTCCGGGACAGAGTGGACCTGTGGATGCTCCTGACTTTTTGCACAGATGACGTCAATGTTTAGGCTTCCCTCCCGACGTTAGTGTCCACCTCAGCATCTTTCACTTGCAGAGCACGTAATGGAGCTGCAACCTAGAAACAAGGAGGTTGAGGTTCCTCGAGGTTCCAGTAAAAGTGCTCCTGAGAGCAGCTCAGGTGTGTATGTCCCCAGCCCTGGCTGGCCGGACACAGCCGGTGGGACAGGAGCCCGGCAGGTATGGGCCAGCTCAGGCCCAGCCGCTGCCTGCCTGGAAGCTGTGTGGCCTCCCCTGTCTGCCTGGGCTGGCCAGGAGCTCACATGGAAAGGGATGCACCTGACCCTGCAGTGCCGGTTCCCAGGGCAGTTGGGCGACACGCAGTGAGCTGCACCCTGGATTCCTCACATAGCTCAGGAGCCTCGGCGTGTGGCTCTGCAGAACCAGGGCCCCTGGAGCACACTTACCCGCAGTTTAAACTGCTCCTGCTGCTGGGGGGCTGGCCCTCTCCCACCCTGGGGTCGGCCGTCAGAGCCCTCCACAAGGAGGGAAGCAGGTACTGATGACATCTGGGGGAAAGATGGACTTTGGGGGTCGGCCCTCAGAGCCCTCCACAGGGAGGGAAGCAGGCACTGATGACATCTGGGGGAAAGATGGACTTTGGGGGTCGGCCGTCAGAGCCCTCCACAAGGAGGGAAGCAGGCACTGATGACATCTGGGGGAAAGATGGACTTTGGGGGTCGGCCCTCAGAGCCCTCCACAGGGAGGGAAGCAGGCACTGATGACATCTGGGGGAAAGATGCGGACATCTGGGGGAAATATCATGCAGAAAGTGGCATTCGTCTGCCTCGGAGTTGGCGTGGCTGGGTGGCGTGTTTCCCATGTCCCAGCCAGTGCGACTCAGCCCTCCCTCCGGCGAGGCACGCAGGCCTAGCACGCTGCCCGTGCGGCTCACGGAGAGGCAGCCACGTGTGGTGGAATCAGTCCACAGGCCTCTCGAGAGCCACGTCCACCAGCCTAGGACCCTCACTCGGCCTCAAGGCACTGCTAAAGGCCAAGGAGGGGTCAAGCCTGCTCTTCTGATCTAGACTGGCCTCCCCCGACCAGGAACACCTGCCTAAAAGCACCCCCTCACCAACAGGGAGGGCCCTGCCTGCGAGCGGCATGAAGTCAGGGTCTCCCCTGTTCCTCCCACACTTCTTCCCCACCCAGGCTCCCGCACTCCCTTGGGCAGGGGTGCTGGGCTGGGTGGATCTGCCCAGCTTCTGCCCTGCTCCACTCCCCCTCACTACCTCCCTCTCTAGCTCCTTCTGCATCTCCCCAACGCATCTCATCGCCACCCTCACCTCCACCTCCCTCCCTCGGCCTGTCTCTTTCTTCTTTATCAAGCCACGAGTGGCCTCAGATGCGGTTACAAACCTACTGGGGCTGGCAGGCCATGGAGACGGTCTATGACGCCAACCCCAGGTGCACACAGGGGAGCTGAGGTCCTGCCACCATGACTTGGCCATGGTCACAAAATCCCCGAAGGAATAGAGGGAATAGAGCAGAGGTCAGCTTCTGACCCCCAGAATGACTCCTGCGGCCGCCTCCTTGGCTCTGGCAGTGGAGAGAAGGGGCTCCAGAGTGGGTGGGAGGTTCTGGTGGAAGGCTTTGGTGAGAGAATGCAGATGGGGCCAGATGTGCGTCCTGCAGGAGCTGGAGCTGCTGGAGCTGGGTGGATGGGAAGCACGCCTGCCCCAGCCACACAGCCCGACCTAGCGCACGGCTCCAGGGAGGCAGGGCTCCTCCAGGCCACTGAAGGGTGCCCTGGAATATAAGGGGCACTTTCCCCTCCTTTATGGAGGCTTCCGTGCCTCAGAACATAAGTTTTCTTTTGTCATTACTGAGAAAGCTCATTTTGTTATGGGAAAAATGAAACCAGAGAATTTGTTCAACCAGGAGCTGTGGGCAGATAAACAAAAACACACACCAGCCGGTTCTAGGCAGTGGGACGGCGCCGCGCCTCCCCGAGACCCCAGTCAGGGCGGCACACACATCTGCACCTGCTGTTCATCAACAGTGACAGGCATGTCCAGGCCGAGCACACCAAGGTCAGGGAGGGCCTCTGGACCCACTTTCTTCACCACGCGGCATTCCTGGCCTTCCGGTATTGACGTCGTAACTGCGTTTCTATTGGCACCACTTTTAACTGAGTTATAGAAAATCAGACACTTCTGTCTCAGGAGACAGATTTCCGACCACTATTTTTATTTTATTTTATTATTTCACCTAGAAATTTTGCCAGCTGGGTACGGTGGCTAACGTCTATAATCCCAGCACTTTGGGAGGCTAAGGAGGGGGGATCACTTGAGGCTGGGAGTTCGAGACTAACCTGACCAACATGGCGAAACCCCGTCTCTACTAAGAATACAAAAAATTTAGCTGGGCGTGGTGGCACGTGCCTGTAATCCCAGCTACTTGGGAGGCGGAGGTGGGAGAATCACTTGAACCCGGGAGGCGGAGGTTGCAGGGAGCCAAGATCGCACCACTGCACTCCAGCCTGGGCGAAAGAGCAAGACTCCGTCTCAAAAATAAAAATAAATGTCCTCTTCAGCATGAATGTAGCTGTTTTGATGCTTGTGGCTTCGGTCATGCACAGGGCACAGGCTCCACCGCATCTGACCACCCCCCGGCCCTGCCCCCAGGCTCTGCGAGGACGTGGTCATCACGGACGAGGCCTCAGGTCACAGCACAGCCCGGCACGGCCATGCCACCGCCGCGGCGCTGAGTCCCGTCCTGTGCAGGGAGCCTCAATGGGCTGGCGGCTGGGAGATTCCCTCTCTTCTTAAAGCAAAGAGCCACTTGGCCGAGGTGCTCAGCCCTGGCTGCAGGGAGGAAAATCACCTGGGAGCAGAAAACCCGAGGAAGTTGAGCCCCACCTGCAGGGCAGGCAGGTCCAGACCTTGGGCGGTGGGGCTGGCTTTGAGCAGGGGCAGGCCCCTGGGGGTGCCGCTGTGCAGCCGGGAAGAGGGTGTGAGGCCCAGAGAGTGTTTGCTGCTCTGCAGGCACGTCCCAGTGTCTCACCCCAGAGGCCATCGGGACCCGCGGATTCCCTCAGGGAGGGCGCCTGGCCTGGCTGTGGCACCGGAGGAAGTGCAGCCCCGGTAGGTGAAGGGACTGTGTCCACATCTGGAGCTTTGCTGCTGCCACCATCATCCTCAGATGACATGGCCCGACTCTGGGGCTCACAGTGCCCCTGTTTTCACAGCCATTTAATTCCTTAGGCCCAGTCCTGGAAGGACGGATGTGCAGCCTCTGGGCCCCAAGGGGAACTTGTGTCCTTTTCCACCGAGTGACCAGCCCAGTGCTTCAGCCGACCCCACCGCAGGGGCCAGGGGGAGGGGGCTCCCACGCTGTGCGGTGCCCAGTGGAGGGCCAAAGCCCCACACCTCTGCAAAGGGCAGATAAAGCCAGGATCAGCTTTAGCAGGGACAGGATTCCTGCAGCAGAGAGGAGTGGATGTGGCCCGTGGTCGGTGACCCCTCCTGGAGGAAGACTGTGACTGGCAACAGGCAGGTGCAATCACCAGATAATTGACCGACAGCTTCTCCACCCAGTGCTTTCTCCATGGGCAGCCCCTCCCTGAGCTCCCTTTCAGAGGCTCCTCCCCACCACCCAAGGGAGCCCCGCACAGCCCAGCCTGACAGCTGAGCCCAGCCATCCTCCTCTCCCGTCTCCTTTCCCATTCTGTGGACTTCCTGGGGTTGCTGTGACAAATGGCCACAGCCTTGGTGATTTTAAACAACGGAAACGCATGCTCACGGTCTGGAGGGCAGGAGTCTGAAACCAGCATCACTAGGCCAAGGGGCCCCTCTGAGGCCCTGGAGAAGGTCCTGCTGGCTTCTCTTGGCTCCCAGCGGCCGTGCACTCCTTGGCTTGCGGCCACATCGCTCTGACCTTCGTGGACAGCCTCTTCATGGTGCTCTCTGCCTCCGTGGTCCATGGTTTCCTCCATGTCAAGTCTCCGTCTTGTGCGAACCTTGCAATGCCACCTGGGGCCCACCCGGATGACCCCAGTTGATCACCCCCATCCCGGGATCCTAACTCAATCCCATCCCCAAAGACACATTTGCCACATAAGGTCACATTCAAGCACCACAGGGATTGAGACCTGGCGTATTTGGGGACCATTTTCCAGCTGACCATGCTGTTTACACCTGAGCTGAACCCGCAGGCTGCTCCCTACCAGGCACTGGCCTCCTGCCCATCCCTGGCTGCAAGGGCAGAGGCTCCTGAGAGACCTGTTTCCTTCTTCCTCCTCAGCCAGTGCCTGCCTTCATGGAGCTTTGCAGGTGTGTCTTCTGGTGGAGAAGACGCTGCCCCCTTATTCTTCGCCCCTTCTCTGAAAACCAAGAAAACCAAGAAAGGGCCGACTGGGATGGCAGCTGTCCACACAGATCCCGGGAACTTGAAGACACAGTCAGGCGCCCACCAAAGGCTCTGGGCTCCTTGTCACGGTGCACTGGCATCCACTGCTTGGCAGCGATCAGCCCCTTGCTCTGTCTTCCTCAGTCTATGCGTGTGTGGCCGTGGTCGAACGGCCCACGCAGCCATGACACGGAACATCCATGACCTGCCTTGGTGACAGCTTGGGGGCAGCGGGCCAGGAGCCAGAGAGCAGGATCTGGGTCGTCTCCCTGCTCCAAGAACCGGATATGCTGAGAAGACACAGACGCGCCACCCAGGTCCTGGGGCAGGCGCTTTGTGGGGTGGGTTCCCTGAGACTGGAAAGGAAGTGTCTGGAAGTCACCGGACACTCAGCATCTGAACCAAACCCTGGGGCCACAGCAGCGTGAGGGGGCAGCTGCACAGAGATAGCTTCGGCCTCGCTCCCCACTGGCCCCTAAAGCACCCACCCACCACCTTTCGGCCTGGACAGGACTCCGACCAGTTCCTCTCTGGGCGGACTTTGGCTGTCTCTGATTTCGGGGTGAAGCTCTCTGTACACAGTTGCTTCTTTGTGCTTTAGCCTTTCCCCATCTGCGTGCTGGGGTGAACACCAGGTGTCTCTCTGGCTAAGTGGCTCCTGGGCCTCTGCTGCTGGTTTTATGTGCTGGGCCTTGTTGGGCTCCTCTGGGTGCTTGGTCACTGCTCCTAGACAGCCCAGCACCTGCCCCTGCGGCTGCCTTGGCTGTGGCCTCCATGCCTGGCGCTCAGCGATCCTGCCTTGGCTGTGGCCCCCATGCCTGGCGCTCAGCGATCCTGTACCCACAGGAGCTGGGCTTTCCAGAGCCACTTCCAGAACAGCAGCCGGGTGGGCTTTGCCTCAGCAGTGGCCAGCTCAGGTAGCCAGACATGGGCCAGGCGACCTCGCGAGGGTGAACCAGACCTAGACGCTGGGCTTGGGAGGGGGCAGTGGTGAGCGGCACCCCTCTCTCCTCCCCTGGAGGCTGCTTCAGTCCAGGTCTCCAAGTGTCCGAGCGTCTTGCGTGAGCCGAGGTGGGCCGGGCAACACATCCCCTTCCCTTTCTGCTATCTGTGCAGGGCCGGTCTCTGTGGTTATTCCAGCCCATGCCTCCCTCTTCCCCAGCGCACTCCCAGTAAAGCGCCACACACAGGCCTTGCCTGGGGGTGCTGGGAACCCTGCTGAGATGGCAGAGGTGGGTGCCCAAGAGGAACGGGAGCTGGACGGATGTGTCGGGGGAGAGTGGAGTGGGAGGGAGGTGGAAGCATCGGGCTTCAAGGAGTTTGGGGCCACAAAATCATGTTCCTGAAAACAGATAGAAGGGATCGGCTTGTCTTGGCCACTTTCATCCTTTTTTCTTGTTTCTGTCAAATATATTCCTCGGATTGCGGGGGCCTTGGTGTTTAGAGAGAGGAATGGACGCAGAGTGTCCTTGCTTCCCTGCCTGGATGCCGCCTCCACGGGAGGTGCGGGAGGTGAGCGTGTGTGCACCGACGGACGCTGGGTGCGAGGGGAGTGTGTGTGAGGTGAGCGTGTGTGCACGGACAGATGCTGGGTGCGAGGTGAGGGTGTGTGCACAGATGGATGCTGGGTGCAAGGTGAGTATGTGCATGGACGGACGCTAGGTGCGAGGGGAGTGTGTGCATGGACAGATGCTGGGTGCGAGGTGAGCGTGTGCACGGATGCTGGGTGCGAGGGGAGCGTGTGTGCACAGATGGATGCTGGGTGTGAGGTAAGCGTGTGCACGGACAGACGCTCGGTGCGAGGGGAGCATGTGTGCACAGACGGACGCTGGGTACGAGGTGAGCGTGTGCACGGACGGACGCTGGGTGCGAGGTGAGCGTGTGCACGGACGGACGCTGGGTGCGAGGTGAGCGTGTGTGCACGGACGGACGCTGGGTGCGAGGTGAGCGTGTGTGCACGGACGGACGCTGGGTGCGAGGTGAGCGTGTGTGCACGGACGGACGCTGGGTGCGAGGTGAGCGTGTGCACGGACGGACGCTGGGTGCGAGGTGAGCGTGTGTGCACGGACGGACGCTGGGTGCGAGGTGAGCGTGTGTGCACGGACGGACGCTGGGTGCGAGGTGAGCGTGTGTGCACGGACGGACGCTGGGTGCGAGGTGAGCGTGTGTGCACGGACGGACGCTGGGTGCGAGGTGAGCCTGTGTGCATGGATGGACGCTGGTTGCGAGGTGAGTGTGTGTGCATGGACACTGGGTGCGAGGTGAGCGTGTGTGCACGGACGGATGCTGGGTGCGAAGTGAGCGTGTGTGCACGGACCAACGCTGGGTGAGAGATGAGCGTGTGTGCATGGATGGACTCTGGGTGCAAGGTGAGTGTGTGCACGGACGGACTCTGGGTGCGAGGTGAGCGTGTGTGCATGGACGGACGCTGGGTGTAAGGTGGGGGTAGATGACAGATAGATACAGATAAACACGGGAGAGGCTGGGTCACGGTGAGGCCGGAAATTATTCATCAGCAGGAGCTTCTGTTCTGGGATGGGCACCACGGCGCTGACATTAACTGGCCAGAAGGCTGAATCAAGACAGAGGAAATGGAAGAGGAAGGGGTGTCTTCCCCGTGATAGCATTCACCACCTGTGCTGAGATTGGGACATTCGAGCCTCCGTTGATAAGTGGCTCTGGAGCCAGCTCACCTGGGCTCACCGGGGCTCAAACCCTGGCTTCCCATCCACCAGTGGGGTGTTGATGGCTGAGGCATTTGACCACCCCGTGCCTCAGTTTTCTTACCTCCCTTAGGGATCTGTCAGCATGAAGGTGGGGATGGATGTCCAAGGCTGTGAATGTGGCTCCTGGGGGCGGGCCCAGCAGATGCCAGAATCAAGGCAGAGGTGAGGGGTTGGCTCAGGTCTTTTGGATCTGAGGGGCTCAGGGAGGTGCAATCAGGGAAATCAAGTCAGCCCCTGGACAGAGGAGTTCAGAGAAGGAGCAGGGACAGCACCCCGGATGGGGAGGGCGTGCGCTGTGACCAGGGAGCAGCAGAGACAAAGGTGCAAACCAAGCCTGATACCCAGGGGGCTGGGGAGGAGGTTCCGAGGAGAGTGGGACGGGTTCCTGTGGCTGGCTCGGGGCCACCGTGGCCCTGATGGGAGCGGCTCTGGACAATGATGAGAAGGAATCAGGCGGCTCGGGGCCACCTTGGCCCTGATGGGAGCGGCTCTGGACAATGATGAGAAGGAATCAGGCGGCTCGGGGCCACCTTGGCCCTGATGGGAGCGGCTCTGGACAATGATGAGAAGGAATCAGGCGGCTCGGGGCCACCTTGGCCCTGATGGGAGCGGCTCTGGACAGTGATGAGAAGGAATCAGGCGGCTCGGGGCCACTGTGGCCCTGGTGAGAGCAGCTCTGGACAGTGATGAGAAAGAATCAGGCCTCCAGTTTAGGGACTCTGTTCCTGGTGATCCCTGGGCTAAAGGACTAATCAGGGGAATCTCAGTATTTTCCCTGACACGTAAGTCACTGAGGAGGGCGGTGGCACGGTCACAGCAGTGCAATGTGCCTCCCTGTCACCTGAGAGGTCACCCAGGGCCTCACCTGCCTGCTTCTCCAAGGCCTCCCTCCCTGGCCAGCCCCAAAGGAAGGTGAGGTGCTGGGAGGGCAGGGGGAGAACTGCGGGGATGGGGAGGAGTTTGGGGTCAGGCCCTCCTAGAGCTGGCTTTGCGGGACCTCCAGGTCTCAGACCACAACTGCCTTGTCATGCAAAGAGAGGGCCCAGGAGGGAGCAGCCTGGCAGTGCCCTTGTCCCTGTGTATTGGGTGGAAGTGACAGAGAATTCTATGCTTGAAACCCGAGTTGCCCCAGGGCTGGGTGAGTGGATTGGAGACTTGGATTACTAGCCTGGGAGGGTCCATGTGGTTCTGTTTAAAGTTTCAGTAAGAGTCGGCTCCCCTCTTTGGTTTGTTTGTTTGTTAATGAAGATTGCTTCTTCCTTTCGAGTCTTTAGAGGAAGAATCACAAAGAGCCTGGGGCTGGCTGGAATTTTCTCCCGTGCAGTCGTCCAGCCTCCCGTGGCAGGGAGCGGCATCTCAGTGTGCGAAGCCCTTTGTATACTTCCCTGGAATGTGGCTTTTATTTTGTAACAAAGCAAATGTTTTACTGCTGGTTTTCCTTTAACAAATAAATATTGGCTCCAACACATGTCAGAGAAAGTCGACAACAATAAACCCAAGTGTCTGTGATTAATGAAGGAGAAAATGATCCTCCCCACTCTTCCCCTCCCAAAACATAGGTCCCAAGATGGGATTTTCAGCCGTGGACCCCTCCAGAGCCTGGGTGGGTTCTGTACTTTTGGGTGGTTGAGTTTTTTCTCTGGCCTGGGGAAGCCCCATCCTGGAGTCCTTTATCTGCTGTTTCCCACCTGTCAAGTGGGGTTGGAATCCGATAATGGGAGAAATGGCCCCTCTGCGCTCTAAGGAAGGGCTCTGCGTGGTGCTAGTACCTGCTTTCATATCTGTGTTTTTAAAAACACAAGGCCAAAGTGTTGATTCTCCCAGGAGATTTATGGTATCAGCCAACCCCTGGGCACTGTGGGGCTGGGGTAGCCCTTCCAAGTAGCCCCCATAAGAGCAGGGGCCTTATGGACCTTTATACACTGTATCCTTCCCTATTGGCTTATTTAGGGGAGGAAAACCTTTATCACTCCCCTCAGGTTCTGTTCCTGAGGTTTGCAAATTAAACTGACAAAAGGCAGATTTGCAGCAGAAAAGATAGCAGAAAATTAAATTTAAATTTGAATGTTATGTGCACGGAAGCTTCACAGACAAGAAGCAAAAACCCAAAGAAGGGATGAGACACGGGGACTTATATACCATTTTAACAAAGGGTGATAAATTGTGGAGAAGGACAAAGGAAAAAGGGGGTTTGGGCTCCTAGGGGTGGTAGATTGTTGGCGGTGATTAAAAAATGCATGGGAGGTAAGTGTTGTTTGGTAGGGGCTTTTTCGTAGTTAAGAGTCATTCTCCTCTGCCTGGTACTGGAGAGGGGAACACCTTTACCCAGAGAAATGTATGCCCTGCTTTTAGGCGAAAAAGGAGGGTAGAGAGCTCTTCCTGAATCTGTAGCTTCTGAATTGCCTTCAGCTCAAAATAATTCTTATGCAAAAGTGGCATATTTTGGGGTCATGTATTACAATCCTCTTCACCAAGGGCTGCTCCCAGAGGGGGTGCAGTTGAACAAGGGAGCCATCAACATGCCCAGCAGCCAGGTCCCCCGGGGTCTGGGTAGGGCCCCTGGCCTCCACCACCAAGACCTCCTAGGCTGACCAGTGTCATCCTTCAAAGCTGACACCCCATTGGTCAACACCAGTTAAACCGGCTTCATCATCAAGAGGTTTTTTCAAGGAAAACATTTGCCTGAACAAGAATGCAGGATTGCACCGCAGCCTTTGCTGAAGGCAGAAGAGGCTTCAGTTGGATCTCACATGCCCTCCCTCTGCTGCAGAACATGGCTGATTCCCCAGGGGCTGGTTTCCCGCTCTCATTCCACTGATGTCACAGGGGCTCTGAGTTTGGTTCTTGCAACATCTGAGTTTGGTGTTTTATGGCCACCATGGGTTCCCAGGGCAAAGCTCCCACAGAAACTCAGCCCAGGTTCAATTAATGGGGAATGCTCCCCCTTCTCTCCAGCTGCTGCGGAAGCCCCCACCCAGGAGAGGACCAATCTTGCTGGGGAGCCGGGGCTCCCAACAGGGACCCCCAGAGACATAGGCAGGCAGGTAAGCCAGCACTCAGGGCCACATGGGCAGCTGGATGGTGTCCCTGGGCAGGGTCTGCTCATCCCTGTGGCTGGTGGGGGCTTGTCAGAGTCACAGGGGATGAAGCTGGGGGAAGTGGCTCAGCAGTGGCTGGCCAGGCCTTCCAAAAGACCCCTGGCTGCCATGAGGATGCAGCAACAGGGGACGAGCCACCTCCAGGCCACCTCCAGGCTATCATCTCTAGGCCTGTCCAGGCCATCTCTAAGCCATCATCTCCAGGCCACCTCCAGCTTTAAGCCTCCTTATTCGGGCTGAACTAGGCCAACCCGGCAACCTTCTAGGTAATGACCACATCCACGACGTCATCGTCACAGCCCATGCATTCGTTATAATCTTTTTCATAGTAATACCCATCATAATCGGAGGCTTTGGCAATTGACTAGTCCCCTTAATAATTGGTACCCCCCACGTGGCATTTCCCTGCCATCTCCAGGCCATCTCTAGGCCATCATATCCAGGCCCTCTCCAGGCCACCTCCAGGCCATCATCTCCAGGCCACCTCCAGGCCATCATCTCCAGGCCACCTCCAGGCCACTTCCAGGCCATCATTTCCAGGCCACCTCCAGGCCATCATCTCCAGGCCACCTCCAGGCTGCCTCCAGGCCACCTCCAGGCCATCATCTCCAGGCCACCTCCAGGCCATCATCTCCAGGCCACCTCCAGGCCATCATCTCCAGGCCACCTCCACGCAGGATGCCCCCTCATCTCTGTGCTCTACTCTTCTCTTCCTCTCCTGTCTCCGGAGTGGTCTGCAAAGACCTCTTCCCCACTGCCCCTTTCTCTGGTCTTCAGATATTTCATCTAAAAGCCCCAGAGAGGATTGCTTGGAGCATGGCTCATCAAGGCAGAGCCCTGGACTTGGGAATGGGTCCCCAGTGATTGGCAGAGATGGGGCACCCTCCTCCATCCCCCCCAGCCTGCGGTGCCTCTGCTCCTCCCTGCCTCCATCCCCCAGCCTGCAGTGCCTCTGCTCCTGCCCCTCCTCCATTCCCCAAATGCAGTGCCTCTGCTCCTCCCCCTCCTCCATCCCCCAGCCTGCAGTGTCCCTGCTCCTCCCCCTCCTCCATCCCCCCAGCCTGCAGTGTCCCTCCTCCTCCCCCTCCTCCATCCCCCAGCCTGCAGTGTCCCTCCTCCTCCCCCACCTCTGTGGTTGACCCTCAGCTCCCCTTCCATGAGGAAGATCGAGGGAGCCTCCATGGTCCCCGCCATCCAGCATCCCCAAGTGTGTCCTCCTCTATATGTGCACTCCCTGCTACGGCCGCTGGACTCAGGAAGACCCAGCCCCTCCCTCCCTCCCCACATCCTGCTCTGCATGGTGCTGGAGGACAGACACCCACCGTCCTGTCCTGCTCCTCTCGGCCCTTTGCTTGCACCCATGGCATCAGTCAGATGCCCAGCCCCACCCACAGCTGAAGTCTGTCCAGCAAGTCACCCACCAGCCTCCCAGTCATGGCCGTCAGCCGACCTCTTTCTGTCTGTCCTTGGAATGTGCTTCTCCTGGCTCTCCCACCCCCCGCCTGACACCCCACTGCCAATCTCCCATGCCCCTCATAGGGTCGGAGACCCCAGTGCCTGGCCCCTTCTGCCATTCACCTCATCACTCCCTGGGCCATCTTGCCCAGCCTCATGGCTTCCCAGAGATCGCACAGACCCCTCCCAGCCTTACATCCCCGTCCCCAAATCTGCTTCCTCCCAATGCCCATTTTCAGGCCAAGGAGGTTACTTAGTTCCCATCTCGAACAGAACATTTCAACAGACGCCCCCTCCCCTCCCCGCCCCCCACAGCCCCACAGCTTTCCTGTGCTCCCTGTTCAGGCACTGGAACCACCATGAACAAGTCTGCAGCTACTGAAAGGTCAGGCTCTGTGGAAGGGGAGAGAACGGCACAGCCCAGTGGGCTCTGCCCACACCCCCGTGCAGGCATCTAGAGGGGCCACAACAATGAGACCAGCGTACAATTCCAGGATGTGTCTCTGTTCCTCCAGGCCAGGACAGTGTCATCAGCCACTGCAGCAGCCCAGCTAGGGATGAGGAGGGGCAGGGGAGGAGGCAGGGGTGGGGAGGAGGCAGGGGAGGGGCAGGGGTGGGGGCAGCGCTGCAGGAGGGTGGTGTCCATGCGGGTGTCTGCTTCTGTTCCCTCCACCAGAGCTCCTGGTGTGGGCTGTGCGGGTCCCTCTGGGCGGCATCCACCTCCAGGGCTTTCCTCTGCTCTGGGCAGTGCTTGGACATGGTGGAGGGGCAGGCACTGCCCTTGAGCCAGTGGCAACATCCTCTTGGTCCCTCAAATTCCCCCTGGAGCTGCCTGATCCAGTCCCCCTTCCCCACGAGGGCTGATTGGACCCGAGGCACCAAGGAGCCTGGCTTCCACCCTGGGACGGACTCTCTGCAGGAGGGGCCGGCGCCTGCACTGGGCTGATGGTCACCTGCGTCCCAGGGGAGTCCAGCCCCCAGGCTCTGCAGCACCTGGCTGTGGTCCAGCTGCACCTCCACGGGTCCTGGGGGGGCTTCTCTGGCTTTGCTCATGGAACAGTGTGGCAACCCCACCTTGAGCTCTCCCCTCATCAGGAGGGACCCCCGTGGGGAGGAGCCCACAGCCAAACCCAGCTTAAGGGTTGTACCCCAGGGCTGGTCTCAGTTGGGTGGGAGAAGTAAGCAGGGGTTTCTGAGGAGGCTGGCCCATCTCAGACCCTGCTGCTGATCCTGGCCTTCAGGCCAAGAGCTCCATGGCTGAGGGGCAGCTTCTATTTGGGACCACCCAGGGTTTCTGGGCTTTACTGTCAAGAGTCTGAGTTTGAAAAGGATGATGGCAGGGGGCTGGCAGGGTATCACCCCTGGTCTTAGGTGAGGTGGGTGATGGCATTTCTCAGCTGACCAGCTTGGGCGTGTGACCTCGGAGGTGTCCATGGGACAGGAATGCCCATCTACCACATTCCCCATGGAACATGGCAGTAGCTCAAAGCAGCTCCAGAGATGACTGTTAGGTCAGCCCCTGGCCCTGCCCCAAACCTGGTGTGTGCTGGGGGTGAGTGATTTTACTTCTCTGTAAAATGGGGGTGTTTCACACCTCCTGAGGGTGTTAAGAGGATAAGGGGCACAGAAGCTTCTGCACCGTCAGTCCAAATGAGTATTAAGTATTCATGTGCTCCCTGATGCCCCCTGGCCTGCGGCAGGCAGTAGTGGATGGGCCTCTCACTGGCAGTGAATCTGGTGCATAGATTTTACTGGTGGCTCATGCTCCCACTCTCTGGGTCCCACCTTTGCTGTGTGACTTGGGACACCCCAGGCTCTGATGATGATACAGCCTAGTGACTCTCTTTGGCCAAAGGGGTGTCAGCAAACATGGCCCAGGCCCAGGCTTCAGAAGTGAGGCTGTGTGGCTGGACTTGTTCCCTGCAGTGCCTCTGCCACCACCATTAGACCATGCCCAGGCTAGTCTGATGGGGGATGGAGGTGTGTGTGCACTGGTGCTGATCACCCGCAGCAAACCCCAGTGTGTGAGCTCGCCCAGGTGCTGAGTCACCCGCAGCCAACCCCAGTGTGTGAGCTCACCCAGACAAGTTCAAGACAAATATACAAAGAAAAATACACCTATGCATATCACAGTCAGATTGCTGAAAGCTAAAGACAAAATTTTAAAAACGGGAAAAAAGGCAACTTCTTTCAAAGGAAAACAAAACTTAAGCTAACTTTCCCAAGGAGATGATGGAGGCTGGGAGACAATGGAATGAGACCGTTACAAAGTTTAGAGAGAAAATGCAGCTGTCTCCTGGTATCCAGAGTGGATTGGTCCCAGGACCTCCCGGAGATGCCAAAATCTGCAGATGCTCAAGTCCGTGCTGTAAAATGGTGCAGTGTTTGCATACCACCTCCACACACCCTCCCATATGCTTCAGATCATCTCTGTGTTACTTACAATACCTAATGTGCTGTAAATGCTATGTAAAGAGTCGGTATACTGTGTTATTCAGGGAATAATAACAAGAAAAAGTCTGCATATGGTCAGTACAGATGCAATTTTTGTTTCCAATATTTTTAATTAGTGATTGGTTGAACCCATGAATACAGAGGGCCAGCTGTAAGTTCCAATCAAGGGTGTTTTGAGCATTAAATTAATTTATTTAAATTTGTATTCTGAGATCATTTTAGACCTTCTACACAAGAAGCGTTATAAAAATAGTCCAAGAGTCCACATATTCACTGAGCTTCCCCAGTGTTAATGTATTACATAACCATGGTACAGTTATCAAAACTAAAAAATTGTTTTTGGTACGCTATTATCAAAGAACCAACAGGCTCTAGCAGCATTTCACCTGTTCTTCACTAACGTTCTTGCTCTGTTCCAGGATCCCATCATGCTTCTCCTGTCAAATCTCCTTCGTCTCCTCACATCTGGGACCCTTTCTCAGTGTGTCCTGGCCTTTCATAACCTGCACACTCTTGAAGAGGATTGCCAGCAATGTCGGAGAGTGACCCGCGGTGGGGGTTTGTCTGAGGCTTACTCACAATTGCCGTGGGTTATGGACTTGTGGAGAGAATACCACGTACGCGAGTGCCCTTTCACGACATCACGTCAGGGTGCAGGGTATTGTCCTGACTTACCACTGTGAAGTCACCTTTGATCACTTGGGCAAGGTGAACTCTGTGCATTTCTCCAACATAAAGTTATTATTTTTCCCTTTTCTTGCTCAATTCTTGGAAATTGAGTCACTAAATTCAGTCCACACTCAAGGGGAGTGACATTAAGCTCCGTCTCCTAGAAACAGGGAGATAAATGAGGGTGAGGACGCATGCTACAGCCACTGCAATAACTGCTATGTTGAGTTACGTAAATATCCTGTTTTTCCTTAAAATTCTGTCCACTAATTTTAGCATTTATCAGTGGTGACAGCAGCAATTATTACTGTAATGTCATAACAATGATTTTCTATTTCCCTTATTCCTTTTACATTTATCCATTGGAATTTTTCTGTAGTTAAGAGTTGCCCCTTCTTATGAATTTACATATTCAATCATTAATCAAATCAACGTGGACTCCTGTATATTCATTTTTCCTTTGGGCTTGAAGTCAATAATATTGTAATTTATGTCATTGCTCAGTAACCAACTATCTTATATCCAGGAAAAATATCCTGTAAAAATGAAGTCAAAATACAAGCATTTCCAGACACAGGAAAATAGAAAGTGTTTGCTTCCAACCACTGGAAGGGATCCCCAGGGGGCTGCTCTGATGAGGGGTGGCCGTGGCCCACAGAACACAGCACAGAGAGGGGGGTGTGGAGGCCTTGGGGGGTAGGGACCACCAGAGTCACAGGACATCAGCGTCACATGACAGGCTTCACGGGTTTAGAAGCAGTGGGTTAACACTCACGGCCGCCACAGCAGAAGGCGTAGAAGGGAGATGCATTCATCTTCTGCAGCTGCGTAGAAATCTCCGTGAGTTTAGCGGCTTGAGAACGCAGACCTGCACTCACAGACGGTTTCTGGTGTCAGAAGTCGGGGGGCTCCACTGGATTTGCTGCCGAGAGTCTCTCGGCCAGAGTCCAGGCGTTGGCCGGCTGGGCTCTGAGCGGGAGGCCTGGGAGAGGACCCGCTTCTGAGCCCATTATTGTTGTCGGCAGAATTCAGGTTTTTGCAATTGTGAGCCCAGGGCCCCCTCTCCCTCCTGGCTGTCAGCTGGGGCTTCTGCTCCTGAAGGTCCCACATTCCCCATCATCCTCCCCTTCTTTTCCAAGCCAGTGAATCGCTCCAGCACGAGCCAGGGAACGTTCTCTGCCCTCGAAGGCTCACGTGCTCAGGCTGGGCCCGTCCAGATGATCTCCGTATCATGAGCCAGTGAATCGCTCCAGCACGGGCCAGGGAACGTTCTCTGCCCTCGAAGGCTCACGTGCTCAGGCTGGGCCCGTCCAGATGATGTCATAAGACCGCAACCCTCATTAAAAGTCTCTTTTCAATTGTGTAATATGTAACATAACATATTCACAGGGTCTAGGGATTTGAACAAGCACATCTTTGGGGGAGGGGTCATTCTATCTATCACAAGGAATCATGGAATTAAAGAGTTCAAAGGTCCTGGCGTTGTCTGGGGAGAGGTAAAAAACTAACTTCCATTAGATTCTTAAAAATCAAAGATGCATATTGTAATTTCTGAAGTCACCACTAATAGAACACTAAAAGAATCTGTAGCAAGCAAGCGAATAGAAGGAGAGTATAAAATAATAGAAAGATAGGTAATAAAACAAGAAAGAAGATAAAGGAGAAGACAAGGAACTTGGAACAGGAAGGGAAGCCCACCTGCAGGATGGCAGTGGAAACCCCACATATTCGAGGTTACATCAATGGCAAGTGAGCAAACACTCAAACATTGTCAGACTTGGTTTAGAGAAGGCAGCAAAATCCAGTAATATTCTGTTTATGGGGGATACATCAAAAAACACACAGAAAAATGGCAAGTAAAGGAATGCAAAAATATATCATTTAAACACCAAGCAGAAGAAAGCCACTACAGTTGCCATGATGTCAAAGTAGCTGAGAAACCACAGAGGTGACTGTGGCTCAGCAGCAAAGGCTTTTCTTATTTTTTTATTTATTTTGAGACAGAGTCTCGCTCTGTTGCCCAGGCTGGAGTGCAGTGACGCAATCTCGGCTCACTGCAACCTCCGCCCCCTGGGTTCAAGTGATTCTCCTGCCTCAGCCTCCCAAGTAGCTGGGATTAGAGGTGCTCGCCACCACGCCCAGCTAATTTTTGTATTTTTAGTAGAGACGCGGTTTCGCCATGTTGGTCAGGCTGGCCTCGAACTCCTGACCTCAGGTGATCCGCCCGCCTCGGCCTCCCTAAGTGCTGGGATTACAGGCGTGAGGCACCGCGCCCAGCCGGGAGGGCCTTTCAACAAGCGGTGCCATGTGGGCGGCTTTTCAACAAGCCGCGCTGCAGGGATGGGGTCTCTAATCGGAGGAAATGAATCCCGATCTCACCTCCCATCATGCTAAAGTATCAGTTCCATATGGATTATTGCTCTCAAGATAAAATAATAGAGATTTTAGAATGTGAAATAAGGAAATATATAATCATGATATCTTACACAGATACCAGAAGAGTGTATCACAAGGACTACATGAAGTTTAAGGACTTCTGTTATCAAAAACACTGTGAAGACTGAAAAATTAAGCCACACAGTGAGAGAAGCTACCGTACGTGTCATTTCTTAGGATTCACAGAGGACTTGTGTCGAGAATGTATGAAGAACTCTGACAAATCAATGAGAATAAAGCGCCTGCCTGGCAGAGGCAGGGACAGACCGAGGCGCGTCGCGATGCGGGTGTCCGGTGAGCACGTGGGAGGGGCCCAACCTCACCCATCGTCCGGGAGGTGCAGACTAAACCCTGAGACGCCGACCTACCCCAGAGAGGCCAACATTTCAAAGATTGACAGTTCCAGGCGGTGGGCAGAGTGCCACGGCCGGTGTGGAAAACGGTGGCCGGCATCCACTCCAGTCTAACGTTTCGTACCTGGGACCCGGCAGTCCTAGGCCTCGGTGTGTGTTCTGGGTAGGAAGCACCTACTGGTGTTCACCCAAAGACATGAGATTGTTTATAGCAGCATTATTCCCAATACCCCTAAACTGGAAAGAACTCAGACGACCACTGGCAGTGGGGTAGGGGTGGAACAGCTACATAATAGAACACGTGGCTGCGATGAAACCTGCTCCTGCAATGTGCAGCCACATGGCTGCATCTCACAACTGGGAAGCACCTGTCAGGAGGCGCTGTCCCTCCCAGGATCCTGCAAGCACAAGGTGGGCACCTGGGAGGAAGGATGTCCTTTGTGCTGTGGCTCACTACAGCCCTTCTCCCAGGGGCCCCGGGCATAAGGCTCCATCCCCACGGTGCCTGGACGTCCCAGCCAACTCAGGGTCCTTCCCTCGCTTCCTCCACCTCCAAACCGTCCTCTCGCTCTGTGTCCCATGGGCTGCCCAGCAGGAGAGCTGCAGGGTGGCCTGCGAGGAACTGAGGACACACACCGTCCTCCCTGTGCAGAATAAGGACAGAGTCTCCCTCTTCTCTCCTCTTCTAAGTCTTTCTCTGTCCTTTTCAAATGTATGTAAATCTGTTTTCTAGCTAAGGAAGCCTCTGCCCAGGCTCAACTCAGGAACGTTTCCTTGGGAGATTAGCGCCTCAGAGCAGCGGGCCTCACTCGCCAAACTGCAAACCCCCCTGAAGGCACAGGTGCTCAGTGTTCACTCGGCTGTAAGGAGTGAGGTTTCTGTCTCTGCGATGCCTTCAGTGGGCTGCCCCAGCCGCACCTCGCATTCTGGCTTTAACGCTTACTCAGTAATAGAATTGCTTTTTCTCTTCCACCTTTCTGAAGAGGTTTTCTGGGTTGGAAAATACGTTGCGTCAGATTCTATTTCCCCAGCAGATCCCTGCCAGGAGATGACAGCCGGGAAGACAGCGGGCTCGAGGGCCTCTCCTGGGCCCCAGAAGCCGCTCGCTCCAGCCTGGGTACTGCGGCCATCCTAGCTGCATGTGGGCCATCCAGTGCTAAACTCCCCTCCACTCCCAGGTTTGTGTCTCCCTCAGCCAGAGTCTGAAACCCCCTGGGGAGGAGCATCTGCCTTGTCAGAGCCCGTTCAGGTTTGTGTCTCCCTCAGCCAGGGTCCGACCTGCCCTGGGCAGGAGCATCTGCCTTGTCAGAGCCGGTTGCCGTGTGCACTGCGTTTGCTCCCGGTGGTCAAGGCCACACCAAGTGTCAGGAGTTCCCAGGCCCTGCAGCAGATGAACCTCTTCCCCTCACTGCCACACACACTCTGCAAGACAAGACCTCACTGAGTCCCCTCTGGACCCACTGGGCTCAAAAGCCACGCCCAGGGGCTGACCATGGGATCCCAAGGACAAGGACTTCACCCTGTGCCTTGTAACTGAGGACACAAACTTTTCTTTCTCTCTCCAAATGCTTTTTGCACAGTGCATGGCAGGCCAGCAATGTGGCCTGGGTTAGCTCTGCCCCGTGTGGGACGGACAGGCCAGGCACAGCCTCCAGGATGCCTGGTCTCCCTGCTGGAGCTCCAGGCGACACCCAGCCTCGTCTCCTCAGCCACGCTGGCCATGCCTGGACACGCATCAGAACCTCCCCATCTGGGACCCCCAGGAGTACCTTTCCCAGGGGTCCCCTTATTTCCCTAGCCTTTGTGCAGTTGTCAGGGACTGTACATGATGGTTATGGAGGAGTGTTTCACCAGGCAGAGGCAGAGAGGAGAGGAATCTGCAGAGATAGAAGGCGCCACCCCACAGCCCAGCCTTGGCAGCCAGCAGTGGGAGAGGGGCTCACGTGTACTTATATCTGGAATGAGCGGCTGGGGCCGGATGCCCATGGGCCGGGTGTGGAGGGAACTGGTGCAGAGGTCGGGGAAAGGCTGGCGTGGGACGCACAGCACTGCACTGGCTGGAAGTGGCCCCCAGAGGCCAGGCTGGTTGCTGGTCTCCAGAGCCAGGAGGACCAGGCCTGGGAGCCCCACCCCACGTCCAGTTGCAGCGAGGGCTGCGTCCCTCCCCCGCCAGCTGGGCCTGAGTCACCTCTGCGGCTGCTCTCTTCCCAGGCCCCACTGACCCTCCAGAGCCTGGAGGGCCGCCAACTGCATCCAACCTCCCTTCTCCAACCTCCAGCTCCTCTCCCCAGCACCTTCTGCTCTCTCTCACCCCACAGGTCTGAGTCTGAACCCCAAGGACCCGTGAGGTGGCCGGGAGAACGGGGCCAGGTGGAGGGGGTCGGACTCTCACTCCTCTGTTTAATTCTGTGTGAACTTCCCATAGTGGGCTGGAAACGCATCTGAGCCCATGCTGACTTCTGGTCAGCCCTCGGCCTGAGGGTCCTTCACTGCCAGAAGGAGGTTGTGCCACGGCCAACCCCGCCAGGCTGTCCCCCTCACCAGGCGACCCAGTGGGAGCACCTCCCTGGAAGCAGCTCACGCACCACCTCTCATACATGCCAATACTGCAACCTCGCATCTCAGAGGGGCCGAGTGCACACCACCACCCGCCCCGCCGCTGACCCGGAGGCCCCAGGAGTGGCCCAGACAGAGAGGACGCGAGCCGAGCCCTGTGTAGCCTCCTTGCCCCAGAGACTCTTCCTTCAGTGATTCTTTTTTGTTGTTGTTGTTGTTTTTGTTTTGTTTTTCTTGAGACGGAGTCTTGCTCTTGTCACCCAGGCTGGAGTGCAGTGGCATGATCTCGGCTCACTGCAACCTCTGCCTCCTGGGTTCAAGTGATTCTCCTGCCTCAGCCTCCCAAGTAGCTGGGACTACAGGTGCCCGCCACCATGCACGGCTAATTTTTGTATTTTTTTAGTAGAAACGGGGTTTTGCCATGTTGGCTGGTCTCGAACCCCTGACCTCGTGATCCACCCGCCTTGGCCTTCCAAAGTGCTGGGATTACAGGTGTGAGCCACCGCACCTGGCCCCTTCAGTTTTTCTTCTATAGCCAAGCCGCTGGCGCCAAGAAAAACCAAGGCGCCTGGAACCCTGATTTCTGACGTGAGGGATAAAACTCCTGATGTCATAGAAGACACAGGCTCATGGGTGCCAACACCGCCTGGTTTACAGAGGAATGCGGTGAGGAATGCGGTGAGGAATGTCACGTTCCCACACCTCCCTGGGCTTTGAACTCAGAATCTGTGAAAATCCCCCAAAGGCCATTCAAGATAAAAGGAACTGAAAAAGCCGCCCGCTCCCAGTGCCTCTCCCATCAAAGCACAGACGGGAATTAGATTCAAGATTCAAGGCCAGCAGACGGTGGGAGGTCCCCCTCTCTCCACCCGCGCTCGGAGGCACTTTGTGGGTTCAGTGACAACAGGCTGGTCCCACTGTAGCCCCAACGGCCACACCTGGAGTCAGACGCACGAGTCAGAGCTGCCTTCCGCTCTTGCCATCAGCTCCTCAGGGCCCCTGTTGGAGCAATCCAGCCTCTCCTGGAGAAGCTCCGGGTCTCCTCTGGGTGAACGCCTCCGTGGATGAATTCCGGGTTTCTCTCCTCTCAGGGATCCCCGCCCTGGGGTCTCTCCAGTCTCCTCTGCCGCTCAAACAGGGTTTCTCCTGGGGAGTGAGGGCTGGGCCCACGCCTTGCCTCTTCCCCTCCCAAGGCCTGGTGTAAACCGTGTGCTCCTCCAGGACTGGGGACCCAGAAATCCTTCTGGTGCGGCCGGCTCTGGCAGACCAAGGCTTGGCCGCTCACTATGGCCCGGTGACACTGGCTTGGCGGCTCACTATGGCCCGGTGACGCTGGCTTGGCGGCTCACTATGGCCCGGTGACGCTGGCTTGGCCGCTCACTATGGCCCGGTGACGCTGGCTTGGCCGCTCACTATGGCCCGGTGACGCTGGTGACGCTGCGCCTGTCAGGCTCCTCGGGTTTGACAGGGAGGAGCGGGCTTGAAGGAGCCCCCTTTGCTCCAGCCGGGACCTGGCCCAACTCCAGGGGCAGGGGTCTGCGGGGCGCCAGAAATCGCCTGGCAGCATTGCGTATCTGGGGCTCCTGGGACCCCAGAGAGTAGGAGGGGAGGGAGGGCAATAGCGCGGCCCTGCCGTGAGGATGCTGGCGAGTCCCATCTGCTCTTCCCGCCCACAGCCTCATTCTCCACCATCCCGTCTCCAGTCTGCTGGAATTAGCTGGCCGGGATCACTGCCTCGTGTTTTCAGGAGAAAAAGCAAACCTGACCATTCATCAGACAGGGCAAGTCAGCCTCGTCCGGCCCCTTGTCCCCGTCGGGGAATTCCAGTCCATCTTGGCTCCACCTGGCCCGATCTCTCTGGGCAGCACCCGTGGGGTCACAGCTTCCCTGAGAGGCAAAGCTCAGCTTCACGGGTGTCTCTGGAAGAACAGTTTCCTGGGTCCCAGGCCCTGCCCCTTTTTCAAACACCCCTTTCCTCTCTGATGCGGCTCCAGCCCCAGCCCCTGGAGACTCCCCCTGGCCTCCTGGTGCTTGGCCCCAGGTCCCGGGCTGAGCTCACAGACTTCCCTGCCCCATCTCAGGCCCCTCTCCCCATCCTCTCCTCTACCCCGCAGCTGGGCCTGGCCCAGCGGCCCTGGGAGGGACTGCCGCAACACAGCTCAGCGGTCGCTCGTGAAAGCAGGCTGGGTGATTTGGCCGGCCATCCCCGCATGTTCGAGGGACACTGTGGTGTCACGGGCTCCGCAGACAGTGGGAAAGCGCTCCCAGCAGCCACTCAGAACTTGGCCGCCTGCACCCCATTGTTCACGCTCCGGCACTGCTTCCTTTGGTCGTGAACCAGCAGAAGTTGCTGGTTCTGTTTCCCCCATCAAAGTTCACATGGCCTGGGTGACTCATACTGCGGCCACTTCCTTTTGGATACACTCACCAAATATCCACAGTTTGACTCCCAACAGCCAAGAAATTTCCATCTGTTCAGAACATACAATTAAAAATCCATCCAAAGTGAAAGGAACTTATGACTCAGCAGTGCCCCGAGAGTGACTCACTGGCAGGGAGCCGTCGGCCCGTGTTTCTGGCCCTACACTCCTTTCTCATTGACTCAGCAGACACTCGCCAAGCTCCTACTGTGTGTCAGGCACCACGCAGAGCTCACACAGATGACCAGAGGCCCAGTGTCCACGCTCAGGAGCACCCAGTCTAGCGAGAGAAGGAGCAGTGGTCACAGCACAAGCCAGGCTGTGGCTGGGCCGGGGCTGGGTGTGGAGAGTGGGCGAGGCCCCCGGCCGCAGCATGAAGGGTATCCTTCCTCCCAGGTGCCCACCTTGTGCTTGCAGAAGGCTGGGAGGGACAGCGCCTCCCGACAGGTGCTTCCCGGTTGTGAGATGCAGCCATGTGGCTGCACATTGCAGGAGCTGGTTTCATCGCCACCCCGTGTTCTATTACGTGGCTGTTCCACCCCCACCCCACTGCCAGTGGTCATCTGAGTTCTTTCCAGTTCAGGGGTATTGGGAATAATGATGCTATAAACAATCTCATGTCTTTGGGTGAACACCAGTAGGTGCTTCCTACCCAGAACACACACTGAGGCCTGGGACTGCCGGGTCCCAGGTACGAAACGTTAGACTGGAGTGGATGCCAGCCACCATTTTCCACACCGGCCGTGGCACTCTGCCCACCGCCTGGAACTGTGGATCTTTGAAATGTTGGCCTCTCTGGGGTAGGACGGCGTCTCAGGGTTTAGTCTGCACCTCCCGGACGATGGGTGAGGTTGGGCCCCTCCCACGTGCTCACCGGACACCCACATCGCGACGCGCCTCGGTCTGTCCCTGCCTCTGCCAGCCGGGTGCTTTATTCTCATTGATTTGTCAGAGTTCTTCATACATTCTCGACAAAAGACCTCCGTGAATCCTAAGAAATGACACGTACGGTAGCTTCTCTCACTGTGTGGCTTAATTTTTCAGTCTTCACAGTGTCTTTGTGAGGAGGCCGTGGAGATGGAGGTCTTTCCCTGACTGTGTTCTTGCTGGGAAAAAGGACTAACGGGGCTTCTCTGTGACAGACCAGGTGTCCGCAGAATCCACAGACTCCACAGACCAGTGTCCCCAAGTCACAGCCCTGGGTGTGGGAGAGTTGTCACCAAACCCAGGAACAGAGCTGTCCAGCAGGGGCCGACTCAGGCCGGGAGGGTGACGCTGAGCCCCAAGGAGGGGCGTCGGGGAAGCGCCCACTCGCCCACTCTCCCGCTCGCCCTTGGGGGTTCTGTGGGGCTTGGCCTCTCCTACTTGAAGGCCAGACCCGACTTCCAGGCTCAGGGCACGATGCACTTTGGGATGAGAGAGTGGCCTTTTGTGGGCCCTGGGGGCCCTTGTCGGTGGGACCACCCACCCCTCCTGGGGGCTGCTGTAGTGATGTTCAAAAGAAAAGAAAACATTGCCGAGGGTTTCTCAGCGTTTAAAAGCAAAGCACACCTGAGTGTGCGCCTGGCAGCCAAGAAGAGGCCTAAACAACTGAGATCAGTCAGGATCGTTAAGGACAAAGATGTTCAAAGGAATTTGATGGAGAAAACCCCACAGGGTCAGTCAGAAACCCCGGCTGCCATCGAGCAGCTGATGCTTGAGGACATTCACTGCAGTCACTGTTGGGCCCTGGGACAGGCAGGGCTGTGTCCTCGGGGTCCCAGCACCCCTGTGGAATGGGCTCACTGGCAGCTCTTTCCGGATGACCTCTCTCTCTCTCCCCGCCTGGTGTGGTCAGGTTGCTTCTCTCTCCTGCTCACAAGGAGGGGTCCCCTCTCCACGCTTGCTCTGTCCCCAAAGTCCTGATGCCACCCCAAAGGTGCTGACGTGAGAGGGGTGGTATGTCCTGGGTCTGGGGACAGGTGGGGTGTGGCTGGATGCAGGTAGGGGGCCTGGGCAGAGCTTGGGGCCAGGTGATCAGGGAGGTGGGCGGGGGCTTCCCAGACCCCCTCACCCTGCTCCTAAGGGGAGGAGACCCGGCCCTGCTCTTGGGTCTGCAGGTAGAAGTGGGGGAAGAAGCACATGATGAACATAAAGTCGCAGCTCAGAGGTGACGCTGGGCTAAAAGCAACATTTTCAAATAAAATCTGTTGGAATTCAGACAGGCAGGACAGTGGGGAGCTGGCCTAGGACCTGAAATCCAAACCTTGCAGGGCAGGGAGCTCACTGAGGCCACGCCAGGCAGGGGGGCTCGGGCACCGCCTTCACCTCCTGCCAAGATCCTTGAGTTTCACTAAGAGCCTCCTTGCTGTCAGCGTGCCCCTGCGAGGGGCCCTGCCGGCGTGACGAGGCAGTCCGGCCTCTGGGTCAGCCTTCTTGGCCAGATGACTTGCAGGTGACCAGGGCTGTAGAGGGGCAGCTGAGGCAGCAGGGAGGGAGGCCGCTGGGGACCCCAAGCACTGGCTCTGGCCCGTATGGGTCCTCAGGTGGATGGTTCAGCCAGAGGCACCATGGCTGCCTGGAGACTGCGGAGCTGGGAGCAGGGACTAGGCAGGGGTCGGGCTGAGCTCACAGGGATCTTTGCTTATCCAGGGGGAGAGGTTTTCTGCAGGAAGACTTAGGACTGCGAGTGGGGCTTGGATTTTTGGGATTCCAGCCCGGGAGGGTGGCTTCCTGTGAGTCCTGGGCCACTCCTTGGGTAGCCCACATGCCCCATTTTATGCGGCCGTTAAGACATCTGGACTCTGTCCCATGGCTGCTGGAGGCATCTGCCTGCCTCTCCCGTCTGTCTCTCCTGTCCTGTCTCTGGGACAAGAGGGGGTTGGGGTAGCGGCCTGCGCAGTCTCTAATAGCAGGGAGGGTCCCCAGGGCACCCTCCCCTCAGCCTCCAGGAATAAGTGCATCAGCTTCCCCTCCTCCCTACCCCGGGGCCTCGAGGTGGGGCCCCCAAGATTGTTTTCGGCTCAGCCCTCGCACAGAGCATGAGGCTGATCTTAGCAGTGGTCTCTGGCCGCCCCCGCCACCTGCGAGGCCACAGCACCCCAGACCCCTCACCCTGCCCCAGGGACACACAAGGACCTGGTCTTGGCTCCTAATGGAAGCCCCCAAGCTGGCCCAGCGTCCTCACCAGCCACCCAGCTCTGCCCTCTGCTCAGGCTCTCAGAGCCACAGCCCCCGAAGCTCTTCCCTTCATAGATGATAATACTTTCTCTTCCTATCTGTGCGATTTTTATTAACTTAAAATTTTTTGTGGCATTTCTCCATTTGTGGCATATTTTCAATTCCCCTGAAATGATCTGCTTCCACGTTTGTATGAGTTCCCTGTGGCTGCTGTGAGAAATGACCACAAACTCAGTGGCTTAAAACAACACAGATCCGGCCGGGCGCGGTGGCTCATGCCTGTAATCCCAGCACTTTGGGAGGCCGAGGCGGGCGGATCACCTGAGGTCAGGAGTTCGAGACCAGCCAGGCCAACATGTTGAAACTCCATCTCTACTAAAAATACAAAAATTAGCCAGGCGTGGTGGCGGGCATGTGTGGTCCCAGCTACTGGGAGGCTGAGGCAGGAGAACTGCCCGGGAGGTAGAGGTTGCGGTGAGATGAGATCGCACCACTGCACTCCAGCCTGAGCGACAGAGCAAGACTCCATCTCAAAAAAAAAAAAAAAAAGATTCATTATCTCATGGCTCCTAAGGAGTCACTTGGGGTGGGCAGGGCCCGCTCCTCCTGGCCCCCCAGGAGAATCGCTCTCCCACTTTCCCCGCCCACAGTCCCTGCTGCAGTCCTGTGCCTCCCCCGGGCCCTCCTGCCTCCCTGGATAAGGGCCCCTAAGGATTACCAGCAGATAACCAGACCTCCCGTGTCAGAGTGCCTGGCCTTCATCACAGTGACCAGTCCCCTCTGCACAGAGCCACACATTCCTGGGAGGGAGCAGGGTGTGGGGGCTTTATGGGACTCGTATTCCGCTTAATACAATGGGCTGATAAAACCTCATTGTGTCTGGGGAAGATTTTGGTGGGGGCTGCGTTCCCCCTTTATCCTCCCTGAATGCCTGGGCTTTGTCTCTTGTTCTGAGATGCTCATGTTTCCCTCTGGGCGGGGAAGGGCGGCAGGGCCGGGGAAGGGGGTTGGCGGGAAGGGGAGTGGGGGCCGCACCTGAGTTGTGGGACCGCACTGATGAGGATGAGGACAGGGACCTGTGCCTGAGGGGGTGGAGACGGCGGTGAGTGGATACTGTGAGGCCTCCTGGACACCAAGACCACCTGCACGATCCCCCTGCCTGGAGCCCCCTCCTCAGTTCCCACATAATGAATTCGGGGATGACTGGGTCTGGTCTAGGCAGTGGACGATCGCTGGTCCTGATTGGATGTCCCAGGGGTGTGGATGGCAAGAGGGCAAAGCCACACTTGCTTGTCCTGGTGAACCTCAGAACAAGCCTTCGCTTTAAGGCCCTTGCGGGGGGGTTCTCTGGGGACTGTATCCATGAGGAGGGAGCGCCCTCTGCATAGGCTGGCGGCTTCCAGCTTTCTGGGTCTCCTGGAGGAATCTCCCCAGTGGGGCCTCCCGACCCCACCTAGAGCAGCCCCCATCCCCTCCCTCTCAGGCCTGTGCCAGCCGTCACGATGCTCTCACCTCCTTATCACCTGCACGGGAGGAAGGCCCAGGACAGCAGTGGGGCCCGTCCAGTTTCCCTGTCCCCGAGGCCTCACCCGGTGCCCATGAGGACAGAGGGATGGACGCGTGAGGGGTCAGGGGATGTGGGGCTTCCCGCCCTCCAAGTGCCTAAAGCTCACACTGCAGTTTAAAAGTTCACTCGTGTTTGGCCATACACAGTGCAGATTGCCTGTGTTAACGTTTGCGTGTGCCTGCAACTGTGAATATGAGGTCCTTTTTTCCATTGCATTTTCTGGCTGGTGAGCATGAGGGAGTGGGAGGTATAGCCCCTTGAGGGACTCCTGGGGCTGCAATGGGGAGTGCCGGAGGAGGCATTAAAAGCTGAGCTGAGGAAGGCATCTCCCTGGGGCTGCGAACCCTGGGAAGGTTCAGTGGGGTTGGCCCTGCCCCTAGCTGCTTCCAGTGCAGGGGCAACCCACGCACAGACCCCGCTCCATGCCGCTCTCCTGCTCTGCGCCCAGACTAGCCCGCCTTCCCAGGGCCTGCAGGGCTGGCCCCCACCCCCTCAGATGCCCTAAGCCACCTCTGCTGCCAGGATGCTCCCCTCCCTGTCCATCTGCTCGGCTTCTCATTCCTGGGCTATGCCCCGGGTTCCCAAAGGCTGGGACCCTCAGGCGCACTGTCCTAGGCCCCACACCTCTCTGTGGCCCTCTGGGCAGCTGGTGGACTACAGCTTTGCCGTCTGATTCCCCGGCTGCAAATCCAAGCTCTGTGCTGCTCAGCTGTGCAGCCTCCCTGTGCCTCAGTTTCCTGCTCTGTCAAGTAGGGATAGTGGTGGCACCTATTCATGGAGTTGTGTGGCCAGGCTGTGCTCACAGCCAACAGCCGTGGAACATGACACAGAACATGCTAGTTGGGGGAACTGCTCTTCCATACTTGGTGTGAAATAATGAGGCTATTTTGTTCCATCATCTTTTGTTCCGTCATATTCCACCCAGGCCCCTCGCCTACCTGGGGGCTCTGGCTCGATGGTCCCCCCGGGCAGCAGAGGCTCGGGTACCAAGGAACATGTGGCCAGTGGTGGAACGGCTGGATCCCCGGATCTTGGCTCTGACCTGAGCGAAGCTCTCAGTCCTGGAATTGGCTGTGAATCCAGGTTCTCTGTGTGGACGGGGCCCCGGTTCACAGAGCAGCCAGGAATGGTCGCTAGTCATCACTGGTCAGATTTGTTGGCGGGAGGTCACTCATGTGTCCACCACACACAAAAAGCAAAACAAAGCATGGAGAGAAGGGGCTTGGAGAAGGTGGCCTGATGGGGGCCGCGGCTGCTCCGGGAGAGGCTGCCCCTTGTGCTTCGAGCCTCACCCATCGGGCAGCATTTGTGCAGCTGGGCCCTTCCCGGCATCAACCACCAGGCCCGAGTGTGGGGCCCGAGTTGCTGGCTGCCCTGAGTGCCCTGGTCCCTGGGGCCCCCATGGGAGATCAAGGGGCTCAGGAGAGGGCATGGGACTCAGGAGGTCCCGGGGCAGCTCCCCCTTCAGGCAGATCAGGGCTGCTTTTCGCTTCACATATTGGGCCTCGTTTATCCCAGTGCTGCCGTGTACGAAACGGATTGAAGACTTTGAAAACCACAGGACCCCGGGGGCCTGTCTATTCCTTCCACGTTGGACATGCTGTGAAACCAGGACTCTCCACCCAGCAGCCCACAGGTGCGGCAGGGGCCAGCTCGCTGTCTTGCTCCTGACACCCCCCGTGCCCTGAGAGTGCCCGGCGTGTGGGAATATGCATTCAGTGGTCAAGCAATCCTAAGCTGGCTGGTGAAGAGAGAAATGAGTGGTGTGGGCCTGTGTGTGTCCGGCCCCACGCAGCCGGAAAGCGTCACCAACAGTGAGACCGAAAGCAAAAAACTGAACATTCTTGTTCTGCGAAAGAACGTCTGATTGGAAAAACATGCTCCCAGCTGCAGGAGCTGAGGGCAGCTGTGAAACGCGCCGGCTCGGCGTGTTTGACAGTGGAACCGCTTCGCAGTCCTGGAGTCGGAGCCTCGCTGATTGCGATCGCGGACACGTGGCCACTTCCCTGAGCGAGAAATCATGGCTTTTCCGGGACTTAACGTTCTCATTCTTTTCACTGCTATATTTTGAAATTTAAAACTTAGAAGACAAAGTTGCGAGGATAGAGAGGGAGCACCTCACTCGGACTCACTAACTTTGTGCATTTTGCCCCATTTTCTTTATCACACTTCCTCTCCCTCACTCAAAAGTGTTTTTAGAACCAAAAAAAAAAAAACAAGTAGGCGCGCAGAGGCCAAGGGAAAAACTTCCCCTTTGCCCTCGGAAGTTTCACTGGAAAATCAACTCACAGAAGGCAGATTAACTGGAGGAAAGGCTGACATGTGTTCTAATGTGCATAGCATGGAGGATCTTAGGAGGACGATTACCCCAAACCCCGGGGGGCCACAGACGGCCATGCACCCTTCTTCTTGGGGGAAAGGAGATGGGGCAGTGTGGGTGACTTTAGGGTGGTAGTAAATGATTTTTAGGGAATTCAATGGGCTTGAAGCACGGACAATGGCCTGGAACAAAGTCCGCTGGAGCAGACAATGGTTGTGACATTTGCCAGGTGTGTTGACAAACCTCGGCCTTTCTTCTTGCGATAGAAGCTCAGTTAATGGAAACGCAGGGAGGGGATTCCGGGTCATTGTTTTCTTCTTTGGCCGGTAGGGACTTCAGGCAGATAAGGGAGATTCAGGGAACAACTTCGTGCTTTGGGAGAGACAGGAGCAGGGAGGTCAGAGAGACCTTGAGGCTGCCTCGGTTCACATCAAAGCTGTATCTCAGGTACCAGCTTCTGAGCCCCAGCAAGGCGGGGTCACCATGTCCACTCCCCACTGTGGACCTCAGCGTGTGCCTGCAGGGAACGCCCCTTGGTGTAATCACCTAATGATGTGATACAACCATCTAGCGGGCAGTCCATTTCCCATTCTTGTCCACTGTCCCAGTAATGTTCCTTCCCACCCAAGGGTGCAGTGCAGGAGCACGCGTGGAATTTAACCGTCATGTCTCCAATCTCCCTGAACCCAGAACACTCGCCTGAACTCTCCTGTCCTTTTGGACCTTGGTGGTCTCTCCAGCGCCCCTTATTGGCAGTCTAAGGGGATGCTGGCAGGCTGAGCAGAGATGTGGTTTGTGGGGTCCCAGCCCCGGCAGCTCAGGATGGGGTCCGGAGGGTGGGTTTGGGTGGAAGACCACACCTTCATAACAGGCACCCTCTCCAAACTGCACGACTCTCATTTGTCTCACCTTGTGGCATTGGCTATAATTTCCAGTACGGCATTGAACAGAAGTGGCCAGGCAGACAGCCTCACCCCGTTCACAGAGTGAGAGGGACACTGTTAGGGAGGCCCAGCCCAATGGCCACATTTTCACTTGATTACCTCTGTAAAGATCCCATTCTCCAGATACAGTCACCTTCCAAGATGCTGGGGTTAGGATGTGAATTTTGGCAGTAGGGAGTGGGGCAAATTCAGGACAGAGCAGGAATTCTCCCCTCTTCCTCTGTCTTCTGAATGAGTTTGTGTAAGGTCGGCATTCCACCATCACATCTGATTTTAGCTGTAGGCTCCTCATACGTGGCCATATCATATGGAGAAAGTTTCACTTTGTTCTTAGCCTGTCTCGAGTTCTTATCTGTGATAATGGGTGTTGCTTTTTTGTTGAATGATTTCTCTGCATTTATTGAATGATCATGTTTTCTGCTTCTGTGAATGACACTGATTGATGCTCAAACAGTAAACGGCTCTTGCATTCCCGGCGGAAGCACGTTTGGTCGTGGTGTACCATTTACTTCCCTTGCTGGCCGTGATTGCTAACATCTGGTTGAGTGTTTTGTGTCTGTGTTGATGTGCGGGACGTTCCCCAATTGTGTTTTATCATAATGTCTTTGTCAGGTGTCGTCTCAGGCTTACATCCGCCTGGTACAACGCACTAGGGATTTTATTAGTTTGTTTGGGCTACCTTAAGAATGCGCAGAACTGGTGGCTCGAACAGGCACTTCCTTCTCACAGTCCCGGAGCCTGGGGTCTGAGATCAAGGAGGGGCAGGGCTGGTGCCTGGGGTCTCTCCTTGGCTTGCAGACACCATCTTCTCCCTGTGTCCTCACAGGGCCGTCCCTCTGTGTGTGTCCGTGCCCTCATCTGCTCTTCTTACGAGGACGCCAGCAGACTGGGCCAGGGCAACCCTAATGACCACATTTTAACTTAATGACTTCTGTAAAGATCCCCTCTCCAAATACAGTCACCTTCTGAGATGCTGGGGTTAGGGTATGAATTTTGGCAGCAGGGAGGGGGCAAATTCAGGCCATGGCAGACGTTCTCCCTTCTTCTGTTTTCTGAATGAGTTTGTGAAAGATCAGCATTATTTCTTCCCTACGTATTTGATACAACTCACCATAAAACCACCAGGGCGTGCAGTTTTCTTTGTGGAAGGAGTTTGATAACGAATTCAGTTATTAAAAGTAGACATAAGGCTATCCAGATTTTCTATTTCATTTCATGCTGATTTTGGTAAGTTGTGTTTTTCAGAAATTTGTGTCACCCAACGTTGTTAAATTTACTGACAAAGTTGCTCATAAAGTTTTATTATTATCCTGTGCTGTCTCAAGGATCCACATTGATATTCTTTCTTTCAGTCTACATATTGGCAATTTGTGTCTTCTCTCTCTTTTTTAAATCGATCTTGCTTGACAGATAACAATTTTAACAACTAAAAAAATCAATTTTGGGTTTGTTGATCTTTTTATCTGTTTTGTATTTCAATAATTTCTGCTACTACTTTCATTATTTATTTTCTACTTTTTGGGTTTAATTTGCTTATCTCTTTTATGCTACTTATATTGGAAACTTATATTATTGATGTTAAGCCTTTCTTTGTTTCTAATCTTAAGTATTTAAAGCTATAAATTTCCCTCTAAGCACCCTTTGCCTGCATTTCCACAAATTCTTACATTCTGCATTTTCATGATGATTCAATTCAAAATATTTTCTTCAAGATTTCTTCTTTAAAAGTTTTTTTTTGTGGCTAAGTCTTGCTACATTGCCCAGGCTGATGGACTCCTGGGTTTAAGCAATCCTCCCACCTCAGCCTCCCGAGTAGCTGGGGCGATGGGCGAGAGCCACCTTGCCTGGCATGCGATTTCTTCTTGACCCACACATTATTTAGACGTGTGTTGTTTAGTGTACAAATAGTTGAGACTTTAAAAAATATTTAAAGCATGTACAGGAGACACTGCAGCCCCTCATGCCAAACCCAGGGCAAAATGTCCCGGCTTCTTGCAACAACCCTATGAAGAAGAGACTATTATGATTCCTAGTTTTCAGGTGAGAAAACTGAAGCTCAGAATCATTAAATTACCTTTTCAAGGTCGAACAGATGGAATATGGTCCAGCCAGGTCCTGAGCCCTGCTATGCTGGACTTTAAAGTTGATGCTACTGACTACGGGTGAGTTGTGTGCACCTGTGTGCCTGTACCTGTGTACGTGCCTGTGTGCCTGTGTCTGTGCGCCTGTACCTCTGTGTAGGTGCCTATGTGCCTGTGCCTTTGCCTGTGTGCCTGTGTCTGTGTGCCTATGTCTGTGTGCCTGTGTGCCTATGTCTGTGTGCCTGTGTGTCTGTGTGCCTGTGTCTGTGTGTATGTGCCTGTGTGCCTGTGTCTGTGTGTTTGGGCCTGTGTGCCTGTGCCTGTGTATATGTACCTGTGTGTATGTGCCTGTGTGCCTGTGTGCCTATGCCTGTGTGCCTGTGTGTCTGTGTGCCTGTGTCTGTGTGTCTGGGCCTCTGTGTATGTGCCTGTGTGCCTGTGTGCCTATGCCTGTGTGCCTGTGTGTCTGTGTGCCTGTGTCTGTGTGTCTGGGCCTCTGTGTATGTGCCTATGTGCCTGTGCCTGTGTACCTGTGTCTGTGTGCCTGTGTCTGTGTGTATGTGTCTGTGTGCCTGTGCCTTTGCCTGTGTGCCTGTGTCTGTGTGCACAGTTTGCTAGGTCTGTCACAATAAGCCACCACACACTGGGGGCTTAAACAACAGACATTTATTATCTCACAGCAGGCTGATTCCCCCTGAGGCTGTAAGGGAGAGGCTGCTCCAGGCCTCCCCCAGCTTCTGGGCGTCCCACAGCCATCATGGCTCCTCAGTGTGCAGATGCATCCCACAGCTGTCTCCACACGGTGTCCAGACCTCCCCCTTTAAAAGACACACAAACACACCCTAATTACCTCATTTGTACTTGATTAACTGCAGATGCTATCTCCAGATAAGTTTATTCACAGATCCTGGGGGTTAGGACTCCAACATGTGAATTTGGGAGAGACACAGTTCAATCTATAACGGCATGTATATGTATATGCTTGCCTGTGCATGTGTGTGCACATACGTGTGTATACCAGCGTGTGTGTGTTTGTGTGTAAACTGCGTGACTCTGCATAAAATCCTACCCTGAGGCTGACAGGTGGTGAAACCGGGCCCAGTGCAGGGCCAGGACCTGCCGGGATCACAGGAGGCTGGGCAGCCGCCTCCCCCGCATCCTCCCGGCTGACACCCTGTGCTGCGAGGTCAGGCCGCCCCGGCTGTGGGCACAGGAGCCCCGGCTGTGGGCACAGGAGCCCCGGCTGTGGGCACAGGAATGGGCAGCAGGCTACCAAGCCGAGGGTCTGCATGGGTCCTCCAGCCATCTGTGGAGGCGCCCCACGGGCAGAGAGGGGAACGAGGGCCGTGTGTGCCTGGATGGAGGTAACTGCTGGGCGGGGGGCTGATTGTGAGCACCAGGGATAAAGCCTTGAAGCCAGAGCCGGAGGAGGCCGAGGAGGGGCTGGCGGGGTGAGCACAGAGCCGCCGCAGGAGCCCTCGGGACTCGGTGCCTGGGTCTTTGGGAGGGACAGGGAGCAGGACAGCGTGGCCTGGGCACCGGGTCCAGGCAACTGTCCAGTCTCTGGGGGCCAGGCCGAGGAGCTGGACTTCTGTTCCCTTGAGATCCCTTGTATGGTGTGGATTTCTGGCTTCTCTTTCTTTTTCTTTTTTCTTTTCTTTCTTTTTTTTTGAGATGGAGTTTTGCTCTTTTTGCCCAGGCTGGAGTGCAATGGCACGATCTTGGCTCACCGCAACCTCCGCCTCCCAGGTTCAAGTGATTCTCCTTCCTCAACCTCCCGAGTAGCTGGGATTCCAGGCACCTGCCACCATGCCCGGCTGATTTTTGTATTTTTAATAGAGATGGGGTTTCACCATGTTGGCCAGGCTGGTCTTGAACTCCTGACCTCAGGTGATCCACTTGCCTTGGCCTCCCAAAGTGCTGGGATTACAGGCTTGAGCCACTGTGCCTGGCCCTCATGGCTTCTCAAGTCTGGCAGATCCTCCCCAGATGCCTAGGCCCCCACAGCTCCCTGCATGCTGAGGTCCAAGCTGGAGGCAGCGTGGTTTCTGTGTGGGCTGCTGGCTGCAGGGCTGACCAATGGCCAGGGCTGCCCTGGACCTGCCAGCAGTGGCAGCCGGCAGGAAGTGGGTCCCAGGTGCAGGCTAGTGGAAAGAGGAGGTTGAACCACAGCCAAGCTGCTCAGATTTTCCAGGGTTGGACCCCCGGGTCATCCATGTGGGAGGAAGGAAGTGGTCCTGGGAGAGGCAGAGGAGCCCTCTGGCCCCCACAGGAAGGGTGGGCCCTGCATCCTCAGCCCGTGCCCCTCTTTCCTAGAAACTGTGGGCCCAGGTTAACCCTGGGGCCTGTGGGGGCTGGTGCAGAGCTGAGGATGAACACATCCCCACACCAGGGGCTCCCCACTCAGACCCCGGAGCCAGAGGGGAAACTAGGGATGCCTCCCTGTTCCACTGCCAGGGCCCAGGCCACGCTGTCGGTGGACAAGTGGCCAGGCAGGTGGGTAGGCAGCAAGGCCAGGCCTCTGCTGGCCTCAAACTCAAGGTGTCCAGGAGGCCCTCAGCGGAGCGGAACGCCTGTACAGCATGAGGTTCTAGTACCACATGTGCCAGGGCGCGGGCATCTTTACCCACCACTCAGAGAGGTTGTTTGCTGAGTTCCTTCTATTTTGTAGCAGCAAGATCTTTCCTCATTGTGCGAAGAGCTGGTGCAGAACCTCCCTGATCCACGCTCTCCGTCAGTCTTGCTCTGTTTTTGGGGTCCATCCGGCCGCCACCATGTCCTGGTCCCCGCTGAGCCCCAGGTAGGCGGAGGCCCTTCCCCCCCATCCTGGGATCCGGCCGCCACCACGTCCTGGTCCCCGCGGAGCCCCAGGTGTGCGGAGGCCCTTCCCCCATTCTGGGTCTTGTCATTGCAGGGCAAACTCTGAGGCCCCCCAGCCTCGTGGTCCTGCCACCCTCCCTGGCAGGTTCTTGTCGACTCAAGCCCAGTGAACGAGGCAGCTGGAGGACAGACTCGCGGTCGGCGCTGGGACCGAGGCGGCCCTGGGGGGCCGTGCTGCCCACCTCAGCTTTGCCTCCAGCATCAGCTGCTCAGCTTGTCCCTTACCCTGGGGTCTTCTGTAAGTCCCGAGCACTGCAGCCCGTGGGAGGGGCTTTCTCCCAGCCCCAGTCCATCTCCTGATCACCACACTCCTCTCACAACGGCTTCTGGGTTCTGAGGTTTTCATTCTCACATCTGGCTTCTATGGCAGGTATATATGTAAATGCAGGTCTATGTGCAGATATGTGTACATACGAATTGTGTGTGTACATAGCTATGGTATATGTGAGTGCATGCACCTACACACAGGTACATGGTGTGTGTGTGTGTGTGTGTGGCATGCACCCATGCACACGTATGCGGTATATGTGGTACATGTGCACACATATGCAACACACGTGTATATGTGGCAGTGTGTGTGATGCATGTGGGTATATGAATGTACATGGTGTGTGTGGGAATGCATTGCACATGTGTAAGTCTATGTGTGATATGTATACACATGTGTGTGATGTGTGTGGTGCTGACTATATGCACATGTGCTGTGTGATACATGTTTGTGTGCACGTACATGTGTGGCATGGGGCGCATGTCTGTATGCATATGTGTGGTGTGGTGTGTGGTGCAAATTTATATGCATGTGTGTTGTGTGATACGTTTGTGTGCACATGCATGTAATGTGTGTGGTACATGAGTCTATATACACATGTGCTGTGTGATGCAGCTCTCTGTGCACATACATGTGGTGTGTGCCTGTGTGAATGCATGTACATGTGCAATATATAGCATGTGAGGATGTGTGCCTATGGACATGCATGTGGTGTGTACACACGTGAATGCATGTGCGCATATATGTGTGTGGCCCATGTGCATGTGTGAATGCTTGTGCATGTGTGAATGCTTGTGCATGTGTACATGTGCCTCTTTAAATTCAGGAGCTGTTCACTTGAGTGATGTAGGAATGAGCAGAGGCAGGAGCTCTGGAGTGTCCCTGACAGCAGTAAGTTCTTCCAGTTCTGGAGCAGAGCTGCCGGCGAGAGAGCCCAGCCCCGCTTTCTCCTTCCTCCAGGGCGATAATGTTCCCATGAGGCTCATTAGAGAAGACGGATGAATGCTGGCAGCTTGAAGGCTTCCAGAGTCACGAGCACGCACACGCACACACACGCACGGCCCCACCAGTCTCATTACCAGCAGTTACGTAAAGCACACTTCCTGGGAACAGCTCGCCTCATTAGTCCACTGGGGTGATCAAGCTGCAGAAAGAAACCTCTCTTCCCAGAGTGGGGCCCACCGTGCCCAGTCGGTGCAGCTCAAACCACACTCCGTTCCCAAAGGCTGGAAGCAATTTTCTGGCTCTGAGGGAATTTCCATGGATTTTTTGTTCATTTGTTTTGTTTTTAGAGACAGAGTCTTGCTCTGTCATCCAGGCTGCAGTGTGGTGGCACGATCATATCTCACTGCAGCCTTGAACTCCTGGCCTTAAACAATCCTCTTGCCTCAGCCTCCTGAGTAGCTGGGACTACAGGCACGTGCCACCACCCTCAGCTAATTGTTTTTTGTACTTTTTGTAGAGATGGGGTATCACTGTGTTGCTTGGGCTGGTCTCAAACTCAGGGGCTCAAGCGATCCTCCCACCTTGGCCTCCCACAGTGCTGGGATTGTAGGCGTGAAGCTTCAGCTGAATTCCCATGGATTTTATGTCAATTGGTGCTGAGGAGTTTGAGGCCAATGCTGGTGGTGATTCCTGGAATGTGGTGACCACTGACCTTGGAGATGATGACCCCAGGTCCCCTCCCCCAGCCCTAATTAGAGCAGAAGCACCAAGGCTTCTGCCTGGGAAATGGCTGGGAATACTCCTCCTCCCCAGCCCCTGAGGCTGGTTTACAGCGCGGGCATGGGGGCTGTGGGGACCCAGACAGGGCCTGACTCTGGCCTGCTGGGGACCCGGGCAGTCGTCTCCCAGAGACTGGTGGTTCTGGCTGCCAGACCCCAGGTTAATGTGGAATTGGGTTCCAGCCACCCTGGATCCATGCACCGGGCAGGTGCCGCCAGCCGGCCGTGCTCCCATTGGTTCCTCACACCCACAGCATGATGCTCGTCTTACAGATGAGGACTTTGAGATCCAGCAAAGTCACTAACTTGCCCAGGGTTGTACAGCAGGAAGGGGAGAGAAGAGGTTGGGAGTCAGGCAGCCTGGCCCCAGACACAGGCCCCAGACACAGGCCCTCACCCACTGTTCTGCCCTGGCCTGGCCTAAGCGTTCATAGGAAGCCGACGATGGGAGGGCCTGGTGTCCCGACAATGCCCTGGGCCCAACTCCTCGGCCCCCAGGAGAACCCAGAGGAGGGCTGGGCCCTCCCACTCCAGGTACTGGGATCCTGGCGGACAGGATGCTAGGACCCCTCTAGCCTGTGCTGCTGCAGAGGGTCACCCCACAGAGGGGGTCTGCAGACCGCCTTGGAGCCCCCGCCCTCAGCCCTTGGAGCCTGAGACTCCCAGCAGCCTGACCTATGACCTTCAGTAACGATGATGTATCAGCTGGAATCAGACAGACCACCCAGGGACTCCGCCAGTAAGGAGATTTCCTTTTACTTCCTTTGTTTAATGTCCTTCTTTTATCCACTCTTACATAATTTTATAACTTTTTATTAGGAAGATGAATCCATTAATGCATCACCAAGCTTCAGTGATAGCCAGCCTCCCTCTAGCCTCATAAATCCTCCCATGGGGTATTTGAAATGAAATGAAGACGTCCTATCACTGTGTCCATAAATACTGTGGTATGTGCCCCCAGCAGATAAAATCTCTCCTTTTTAGAAAACACAGTCACAATATAATCATCACAATGGATCCCTAAATATTCAGCCTGTTCACATTTCCCTGACTGAAAACGGCTGTTGTAACGTCTTTTCCTTGCTGCCCCGGCCGAGGCGCGTCTTCCCGCCCCGCGCCCTCTGTCCTCTCGCTTTCTGGGCATCTGCGTGTGGATCCCGGGCCGTTCGTCCCATGGGATGCCCACTCTCGGGCTGCTGCTGCTGCTGCCTGGCCGGATTTGATGAGCTCCTCCCTGCATTTCCTCCAGCCTTGGGGTTGCCAGGCAGTGCTGGCCTCTGCCCTTGGCATCTTGTGGGGGCACAGGGCGTCCTGGTGCCTCTCTTCTGGGGATGGTCAGCCTGGTCACACAGGTCCCCAGAGGAGGACTGGGTACTCCTGCCCCTGGTCCTGGGATCCCTGGAGGGCAGGATGCTGGCACCCCCTCCAGCCTGTGCTGCTGCAGAGGGTGGCCCCGCAGAGGGAGTTTTTGGACCGCCTTAGAGCTCAATACAGCAGGAGGCTGCCTCGGCTCAGGCCCTAACTGTGGTCTCAAGCCGGCTCTCTCCTTGTAGGGACTCGGTTTCCCTGTGTTACCCTACTCCCGCCCTGACGGCTCAGACCCTCTCGTGGCAGTGGCTCACCTCTGGCGTTTCCTGAAGGTTTGCAAAACGGTGATCTTCGGATCCCATCACTCCTTCTGCGTTTACTCGCTGGAGATCCTCTGGAAAGAGCTTTCTCCCGTGAGCTGCTCGGCTGGGTGAGAAAGTTCCCGCAGGAAAGCCGGGACACGTGCTTTCTACCTCCCCCTATTTGCCAGTTCGCAGCATCACGGCTTGGCGCCCTAACAGCATCCGAGAGGGACAGGAGGTTTTGAAAGCGGTTTGATAAATTCACAGAGTTTCAAACATTTGATGTTTTCTACCATCACTATACCATTAGTCTGTTCGATGCCTGTCGTGCCCCGGCTGGCGCTGGGAGCCCTTCAAGCTGGGGGCTGCCCTCTCGACAGGGGGACGCCGGCGTGGCGGGTGACACTGCACTTGCTGATGCCTCCTGGGCTTCCAGCAGCTCCCTGTGCCGCTGCCCAGCCCGCGCTCAGTCACTTCCCAGAGTCCTGGTTCAGGTGAGTGGGGAGAGGGGCTCAGAGCCAGCCTGGGTGCCGGGGACTGTGGCTCCTGAGTCGTCTTTGCTTCTGGGCAATTCCAGATGACACAGCGGAAAAAATGTATTTTTATGAAACAAACATATGGCATGAGTTCAAGAGCTTACACAGGTGCCTCCTATTCAAACTGGAGAGTTTCTTCAACTTCTTTGACTTTATACTTGTATGCTTTTTTCTCTAACCCCGAAAATCTTGGCCCCTGATGGTATTAACATGTTTTGTCTTCATTTGCTTTATTTGAAACTGTATATATTCTAGTTTAAAATAAGAATACCAATATTATGGCCAAGTGCAGTGGCTCACACCTGTAACCTCAACACTTTAGGGGGCTGAGGTAGGAGGATCACTTGAGCCCAGGAGTTGGAGACCAGCCTGGGCAACATAGTGAGACCCCATCTCTACAAAAAATCAAAAATTAGCTGGGCATGGTGGTGCACACCTGTAGTTCCAGTTATTTGGAAGACTGAGGCAGGAGACTCTCTTGAACCCGGGAGTTACAGGTTGCAGTGAGCTGTGATTACACCACTGCACTGCAGTCTGGACGACAGAGTGAGACCCTGTCTCAAAAACAAGCCAACAGACCTGGCGCGGTGGCTCACGCCTGTAATGCCAGCACTTTGGGAGGCTGAGGCGGGTGGATCACATGACGTCAGGAGTTTGAGACTTGCCTGGCCAACATGGTGAAACCCTGTCTCCACTAAAAATACACAAATTAGCCAGGCGTGGTGGCGGGTGCCCGTAATCCCAGCTTTTGGGGAGGCTGAGGCACGAGAATGGCTTGAACCTGGGAGGCGGAGACGGCAGCGAGCTGAGACTGCACTGCTGCACTCCAGCCTGGACGACAGAGCGAGGCTCTGTCTCAAAAACAAAAACAAAAAACAACAACAACAGCCAAAAAAAAAAAAAAAAAGAATACAAATATTATTATCAGCAACCCAATTAGAGACTGCAGCCCGATATTTCTGCGTGGCTCCTCTTATCCTGCTACACACCCCGCCAGGGACGTCTAACCAATTCCCTGCGTTGAAAATCCAGTGGGAAGCGACACACCCCGCCAGGGACGTCTAACCAATTCCCTGTGTTGAAAATCCAGCTGGAAGCGACACACCCCGCCAGGGACGTCTAACCAATTCCCTGCGTTGAAAATCCAGCTGGAAGCGACACACCCCGCCAGGGACGTCTAACCAATTCCCTGTGTTGAAAATCCAGCTGGAAGCGACACACCCCGCCAGGGACGTGTAACCAATTCCCTGCGTTGAAAATCCAGCTGGAAGCGACACACCCCGCCAGGGACGTGTAACCAATTCCCTGCGTTGAAAATCCAGTGGGAAGCGACACACCCCGCCAGGGACGTCTAACCAATTCCCTGTGTTGAAAATCCAGTGGGAAGCGACACACCCCGCCAGGGACGTCTAACCAATTCCCTGTGTTGAAAATCCAGCTGGAAGCGACACACCCCGCCAGGGACGTGTAACCAATTCCCTGCGTTGAAAATCCAGTGGGAAGTGACACACCCCGCCAGGGACGTCTAACCAATTCCTTGTGTTGAAAATCCAGCTGGAAGCGACACACCCCGCCAGGGACGTGTTACCAATTCCCTGTGTTGAAAATCCAGCTGGAAGCGACACACCCCGCCAGGGACGTCTAACCAATTCCCTGTGTTGAAAATCCAGCTGGAAGCGACACACCCCGCCAGGGACGTGTTACCAATTCCCTGCGTTGAAAATCCAGTGGGAAGCGACACACCCCGCCAGGGACGTCTAACCAATTCCTTGTGTTGAAAATCCAGCTGGAAGCGACACACCCCGCCAGGGACGTGTTACCAATTCCCTGTGTTGAAAATCCAGCTGGAAGCGACACACCCCGCCAGGGACGTCTAACCAATTCCCTGTGTTGAAAATCCAGCTGGAAGCGACACACCCCGCCAGGGACGTGTTACCAATTCCCTGTGTTGAAAATCCAGCTGGAAGAGACACACCCCGCCAGGGACGTCTAACCAATTCCTTGTGTTGAAAATCCAGTTGGAATGCTTCTCCAAGCTGTTAGGCCACCAATAGGACATGAAATTCTGTCCATTGGTCATTTGTCTCCCATCTTCAGGGACCTCCCTGTTTGAGTCTTCCTTGTGCCTGCTTTGTTTTGTCGCTAAATTACACACACAATTCCTGAGGCAAAACCGTCAACCACAGCTGCTTGGCTTAGCCCGGCTTTCGGGCAAGGGGGCAGGTTCGGCACTGGGGACCAAGGCACTGTGAAACCACCACGTGGCCCCGCTGATAGGCACCTGCTCTGAAGGCGGCTGGAGGCCGTCTCGCCTGAGACCCTGACTGTCATCTCAAGCCGGTTGTCCCTTGCAGGGACTCGGCTTTTCTATGCTCTCCTATTTAAACAGACATAGTGTCTGTGCTATGCTGGGCCCCAAGGGTAAGTCACAGAGGCCTGAAATCGAGGATGAGGCCGAGCGGAGCCTGGGCAATGTGGGCGCGGCCTAGAGGGCTGCGCTGCACTGTGGTGGACATGGCCTGCAGCGCCGTGAGCGATGCCTGTGCTCTCACTCCCACGGGGCAGGTGGAATCCCACGGACAGAGTCTCCTCACCCGGCCTCCCCCCAGCTGTGTGTCCAGGGCCGAGGCATCGGTTGGGCCAGCTGAGCTGGTGTTTGTTGACCAGGAGCAGCTTTAGTTTGCTCTGGGTAGAGCCCAACTTGTCTCATCCACCTCTAAAGCCAAACTTCATCCCATTGACCAACGACGAGCTGGAATTCCACAGGACAGTCTGTGGCCACCAGAAAATCCTCCATGGCCTCTGCCACAGGCTCTGTCTGACTGTGGAGCAGATGGATGTTTCCGCGAACACAGGTCAGAGTCCTGCCTCCCAGCCAGCCCTCCTCATCACAGTCCTGGCACTTCATCCAACTCCCTCTGTCCTCCGAGTTGTGGCAGGGGCAGAAAACCCCACCGTGGAGTGCTGAGCCAAGACTGGGTTCACGGATGGGTCCCGGCCACTGGCTGCTATACCATGCTGCCTTTCCACCCTCTGCAGCACCGCATGGAACGCACACATCCTCTCACATTCACACGGACACACCCAGCGCCACTCCCGGTGTGGTTCCTTCCACATTCCAAACTCATCCGGACCTTTATTTTATTCATTATTTATTTATTTATTTATTTATTTTTGAGAGTGAGTCTCACGCTGTCACCCAGGCTGGTGTGCAGTGGCATGATCTCGGCTCACCGCAACCTCCACCTCCCGGGTTCAAGCGATTCTCCTGCCTCAGCCTCCCGAGTAGCTGTGACTAAAGGTGCGTCCCACCATGCCCAGCTAATTTTTGTATTTTTAGTAGAGACAGGGTTTCTACTAAACCAGGTCAGGCTGGTCTCCAACTTCTGATATCATGATCTGCCCGCCTCAGCCTCCCAAAGTGCTGGGATTACAGGCGTGAGGCACCGTACCCAGCCAGATAGACCTTTATGTTAACAGCTACACATCGTCCCATGGCCTGGATAAGCCGACGTCTATTGGTTAATGTGGTTGCTGTTGCCCAGCTTTGCTCTGCAGATCAACATTTGGTGTCCTTGCACACACACGTGCCTGCCAGCCTTCCCCACCTTGGCCTATGCGAGCGCCCACTTCCGAGCTCCCTGTTTCACTCGCTTGCTTGGTTTTTTTTTGGTTCTGCACCCCCTCCGCACCCCCAAATGAAACCCCATCCGGACAGGGACCCTGTCTTGCTCACCCGTGGATCCTGGGCACAGCAGGGGAGATGCTCCCCTGTGATTTCTTCCAGACGTGTTTGTTTCAGCCTCCGTGTTTGCATTTGCAGACTGCATATGGGGGAACGTGGGGCCCCGGCTTCCTGCGTTCCGTATGCATCTGCAACTGAGCTGGTACCACGAGTAAAGAGGTTCCCCGTGCCCCTGGTCTGCAATCCTGAATCTGTTGTGGATCAAGTGTCCCGTGTGCGTGTTTCTGGACCTTCCATCCCACTTCACTGACCACTGTGTGGCCTGGTCTGGACCTTCCATCCCACTTCACTGACCGCTGTGTGGCCTGGTCTGGACCTTCCATCCCACTTCACTGACGCTGTGTGGCCTGGTCTGGACCTTCCATCCCACTTCACTGACCACTGTGTGGCCTGGTCTGGACCTTCCATCCCACTTCACTGACCGCTGTGTGGCCTGGTCTGGACTCCTATAGCTTTGTGGTGGGCACTGGCACCTGGGGGCCGAGTCCCTCGCTTTGGTCGTCCTCAAGGTCGTCTTGCTGTTCTTGCCCCGTCCATTCCCACGTAAACTTTAGCTTGGCAACCCCCTACCCGCAACACACACACACTCACACACTTTGGCCTGGATTTTAATGGTGATTACATGGAATTTATAGATCAATTGTTGTGTTTGTTAACTTGTTTTTAACTTGCTTTTAATCCATAAATATATCATATCCCTTCCTTTATTTAAATCTTTTTTTTTTTTCTTTTTTTTCTGTCACTCAGGCTGGAGTGCTGTGGTGAGATCTCCGCTCACTGCAACCTCCACCTCCCAGGTTCAGGCGATTCTCCTGCCTCAGCCACCTAAGTACCTGGGATTACAGGCGCACACCTCCACATCTGGCTAATTTTTGTATTTTTAGTAGAGATGGGGTTTCACCATGTTGGCCAGGCTGGTCGCGAACTCCTGACCTCAGGTGATCTGCTCTCCTAGGACTCCTAAAGTGTTGGGATTACAGGCGTGAGCCCCCATGCCTGGGCTATTTAAATCTTCTTTAATGTACCTTAGTCAATGTTTTGCTGTTTTTGGAATATTTTACTGAACAGTTACTAGGTAATTGATGGGTTTTGATACTACCAAAATGGTATCATTTAAAAATTCTCATTTTCTAATTATTAGTTGCTGGTCTGTATAAAGATAATTAATTTTTGTATATTTAGCTTGTATCCAGTGTTGTTGCTAAATTTACTTTTTAAAAATAACAGCTTTATTAAAATATAATTCACATACCATACAGTTCACCTGTTTGCAGTATAGAGTTCAGTGCTTGTTAGTATATTCACAGAATTGCACAACCATCATCGCAATCAATTTTGGAATATTTTTATCACCCTCCCCCACAAAAAGTACAACAAGCAAAAACCTGTACCAACACTAAATTCATTTTTCATCCTAACACTCACCTAGAGATTATTTTGGATTTTCTACAAACACAATGCACTTCCTGCCGTGCTTGTGTTGGGAAATCTGCCAGAACCCACAGGAGGGAAAGTCTAATGAAAGCACGCGCCTGCTGGAAAACGAACCGGGCTTTTGAAAAGAGAGGGGCTGCGTTTGTGCTGACACGAGCAAGGTACAGAGAGATCTAAATGCATGGTATAGTGCGTGTGTGTGTTGTCCAGAATGGCTAATTCAAATGTTCATTCTAACCTTAGACGTGGATTGAGAATTAGGCAGATGTACACAGAAATGAATTAGGACACTCAGGCTACTTGGGAATTTTGAGTGATTCCAGTACAAGCTCCTGAGGGCCTCATCAGCAAAGGCATTTCTGAATGCATCCTCTTCTCCTCCCCAAAGAAGAAGATTAAATGTGCCAGGTCTGTAGGGAAGGTCAGCAGGGGTGCTTGTGACCAAGCCTGCGTCCCCTCACCTGTACTGCTGGCAGGCCGGGCCCCCAGGCAAATCCTAGCGTCCGACTGGATCAACTGAGCAGAACAACCCTGAATTAGGCTTCTGCCCCGAGCTGGGGGGAGCCAGCCACAGAGACCCCGGGTGGGAAAGCTGGACCAGGCACGAGCCTCCTTCTGTGGGGGGCTCAGTGGTGGCTGCAGGGGTCATTCCCAGGGGTCGGAGGCATCCACCCCAGGCAGGAGCTGCCTCCAGGTGACTTGAGCAATGAAGAGAAAAAATTCTTTCTGTGTCAAAATATGTTTCTGTGTTAGCCTAAGGTAAACTGAGAGAAAGAATCCCAGTTTAAGAGAATGTCTGCATAAGTAAGGTTCACAAGTGTATCTCAGAGCTTGTGATTCTCTGGGGAAAATGTCATAACAATGTAGGAATCCTCGTTTAGACAAGTTTGCCCATTTTATAACTTTGGTACACATACTACTATAAAATTTCAAGTTTTAACACTGAAAATTAAATTTCCGAGGGTGGCAGGTGAACAATTTCCTCTGAGGAGAGGGAAGAGCCACACTCGATAATTTCTTTTCTGCCTTTCTCTCCTTTTCCCTGTCCTGGGACTTCCAGAAACTGCGGGAGGTGGGGCCAGAAGAGAACAAGGATCTGAAAAATGCTCTCACTCTAACTCCCGCGTGGCATGTGTGAGCCAGTCTTAGCTTTGGTTTGCACTTTCTGAAAAGAAGGAATGATGTCGAAACCTTAGTTTGAGAGATGATGGATTCCTGGGTGGAAATGAGCAAACGGAGGGATGGATGGATGATGGACGGATGCATAAATAGATGGATGGATGGATAAATAGATGGATGGATGGATGGATGGATGGATGGATGGATGGATGGATAGATGGATGGGTGGATGGATGGATGGATGGGTGGGTGGATGGATGGACGGGTGGGTGGATGGATGGATGGATGGACGAGTGGGTGGATGGATGGATGGACGGGTGGATGGGTGGATGGATGGATGGATGGATGGGTGGATGGATGGACGGGTGGGTGGATGGATGGATGGATGGATGGATGGATGGATGGATGGATGGATGGATGGATGGGTGGGTGGGTGGATGGATGGATGGATGGATGGATGGATGGATGGATGCAGAGGAAAGAGGCACTGGCATCGGTCTCCACGTGAATTCCAGCCAGCAAGACTACAATGCTCCTATGAGACCAAACTGTATTTTGAATTAAAGTTTCCATATTGAGGATAAGCTTATGCTCAGAAGAAAAATCACAGCTTCTGAGCGACTGGTCTGTAAATTGGCAACAGCATGAAGCAGATAAGAGAATACGCTCACTATGGACATGTGCCCAGACACAGAACAGTGGCTAGTTGTTAAAACATTTCCTTCCAAGGCTAATATTTTCAGAAGGAAAAATATAACAAAGGTGATTACTACCACATTTAAATCTCTGCAAGGCCCCGTTTTATTTTTAACCTGATAAAAGGGACCACAACTAGTGGATCCATGTCATGACACACTTGTCAAAACCCATAAAATGTTCGACACAAGGAGTGAGCCCTAATGTGAGCCGTGTGTTCGCGCGACTGATAATTGTAACAAACGCAGCACAGGAAGCAGGATGTCAGTCGCAGGGGAGCCGAGACACTGGGGCTCCCTGGACCTGAGACTCAGTTTTTCTGTAAACCTAAAACTGCTCTAAGTAACAAAGTCCACTAATTAAAATGTTTAAAAAGGAGCCAAACCATGCTTCTTCTTTAATACATCTTATATGCTTTTCCTAATAATAATATGAATCATTTTAAATGTCCGATTTGGAGATTTTCATATCGTTTTTGAAAGACTGGGCGTTTTGGAAATCCCCTGTTGGGTCATGTCATTACCTGAACAGCTCATTAAACGTTTTGTGAGTGACTCTGACACACACGATGGGTCCCTTGTCATTCATAAACGGGATTTTATAGAAGCATTGATTATATCATAATGTTATAAAGGCCTATAAAATTGCTCCTTAACCTGAATTGCAGGGTGAAATTTAAGGGCAAGCATCTCTAATAATATCCATGTGGAAAGCTATTGTATTTTGATCTTATTTCATTATAGTTTCTGACATTCTCAAATGGCCTTTGCACTTTGTAGGAATAGGGCATTAAGAAATAAATACCTGGCCGGGCACGGTGGCTCACACCTGTAATCCCAGCACTTTGGGAGGCGGAGGCGGGCGGATCATGAGGTCAGGAGATCGAGAGCATCCTGGCTAACACGGTGAAACCCCATCTCTACTAAAAATACAAAAAATCAGCCAGGCATGATGGCTGGCACCTGTAGTCCCAGCTACTCAGGAGGCTGAGGCAGGAGAATGGCGTGAACCCGTGAGGCGGAGCTTGCAGTGAGCCAAGATTGCACCACTGCACTCCAGCCTGGGCGACAGAGCGAGACTCCGTCTCAAATAAATAAATACCTGAGTGTCTTTTAAAAATTAGAATTCAACACCAAATTGTGGGTTATTTAAAAAAAATATGTTAAAGACAAATTCCCTTGACCTGGGCGTGTCTGTTTCTTCTCTGTGTTGGTCACTTCACATCAGCTGTAAACACCAGCGCTGTTCCCTGACTATTCTGAATATAAAGACACCTTTTTCTCTCTTCTCAGAGACCTGTATTGCCTTAACACTCCCAGCAATGACCACCTGCAAGCTTGCGCTGCGACTCCCGTCCGAAGACATGCGGGCCAGTATGAGCGGAGAGGTTCCCAGCACCGTCACAAGACCCTGTGCTATTATTTTAGACTCACCTGTGGCTGTTGACAACACCACACACATGAAATGATGCTCACCAGAATCAAAATACTCAGCTAAACAAAGAATTGTGTTGGTCATGAAATTATTACCAGGAGGGATAAAACTCCAGGGTGAGCCATTAAAGAATCTGAATTCAATTCATTCTCATGTAAGATGTTGGAGCTAGATTTACACCTAGGCGTGTGCACCCACCAGGTCAAAGTCTCACTTCTGCCCTTTCCCTGCCACACCCAGCCCAGAACCATCAGAGGGACAGGCTGGTGGGGACTTGGGTGCGGACGGGAGGTCGTGCCAGTTCAAGGGGTCCCCATGGTCAAGTTGTGGCTACCTGAACACTGAAAGAAAATGAAAATCATAGTTACTTAAAATAAACTTATTATCTAAAAACTGCAAACCCCCAGTGGTACACAAAGACAACTCCCTTTTTTCTTGTCTAATTAATAGTACTAAACAGAGGCCAATTGATTCAGTACAAATGCTGCTCACTTGAGCTGTGTTTTGATTGTCTTTTCTTTTGTTTTTTTTGAGACGGAGTTTTGCTCTTGTTGCCCAAGCTGGAGGGCAATGGTGCAATTTCGGCTCACTGCAACTTCCGCCTCCTGGGTTCAAGTGATTCTCCTGCCTCAGCCTCCCAAGTAGCTGGGATTACAGGCACCTGCCACCACGCCCAGCTATTTTTTTGTATTTTTAGTACAGACAGGGTTTCGCCATGTTGGCCAGGCTGGTCCTGAACTCCTGACCTCGGGTGATCCACCTGCCTTGGCCTCCCAAAGTGCTGGGATTACAAGCATGAGCCACCACGCCCAGACTGTCTTTGCTCTTAAAAGGTGCAGAAATCTGCATTCGTTTTCTGGGGCTGCTGCAACACTGTTCCACAAAACTGATGGCTAAGAACAGAGGTTCTCTCACAGATCTGGAGCCAGAAGTCCCAGATCAAGGTGTGGGTGGGGCCGTGCCCCCTCCAGAGGCTCTGGGGAGGATCCCTCCCGCCTCTCCCAGCTCCCAGCAGCCCCCAGTGTCCCCTGGCCTGTGCATCACTCCAGTCTCTGCCTCCATCTTCATGTGGCCTCCTCCTTGTGGGTCTGTGTCTGTGTCCACATTTCCCCTTTTGGTGATGACACAGTCACATTGGATTACAGCCCATCCTAATGAACTTGATTTAACGTGATTAAATCTGCAAAGACCTTATTTCCAAGTAGGGTCACACACACAGGTATGGGGGTGTAGGGCTTCAGTGCGTCCTTTTTTGGGGGGAGGGGACACCATTCAACCCATAACAAAATGTGTCTGTGTGTGAGGCTGACTCCGTCCCTGTGAGCACAGGCTCCCCTGTGAGACTTTCTCCCCAGTTTGGGGGCTCCTAACCGGTCAGTGGTGTATTTGCTATCCATTGTGTCCTAACAAAGCACCCCAAGTTTAATGGCTCACAACAACCTACAATAAACCTTCCTTATCCTCACAGTTCCTCTGAGCCAGGAAATCCAGCACAGCTTAGCTGGGCGCTGGGGCACAGGGCTCTCATGAGGCTGCAGTTGGATGCCTCTGGGGCCACTGTCATCCGAGAGCCTCCCCAGGGCTGCAGGGTCCAGGTCCAGGCACGTGGCTGGCACACTAGTGCTGCTGGTGGCGGGAGGCCTCTGTTCTCCCTCTGAGACCCATGGCTGGCCCATGGCTGCCTGGGCTGGCTGGGCTTCCTTCCCACCCCAGGCAATGTCGTCAGCGGACCATGAGCTCAGCCGCTGCCACCTAGGGTTCCTTCATTCTCCTACAGTCTCCCAGAGAGGAGGGGCCGGCTCTTCCTTCTTTGCTCCTTAGAGCCTTCCTGTGACTTCTGCAGCAAGGTTTGTGCAGACAGCAGGGTTTGTAGGTGTACCTGTGGCCAAGCATTTCTCATTTTTCTGGAACTTTAAAGTACCTGGAAGGTTTTTCTTTTCTCTTCCCAGGTGTGGAAACCACAGAATCTTCTGTGCTCTGTGCCTGAAGTGTGGGCAGGCTGCGCCATGGCACCCAAGGCAGTTTTCCTGGAAACCAAGATGCCGTGTTCCAGATTTCACTGTGAACCAAGGCAGTGTGCAGGGGCCTTGGATGAAGCTCCCACTCCTGCCCATTATTTTGGGAGTCGAAGGGCCTGAGGCAGGGGCCAGAGATGAATGCTGGTGGCTTACATCCCAGCTCAGGAGCTCCGGAAACCAGAGAGGTGTCGTGGAAACTGTGGGCCACTTGAGGCAGCAGGAAGAGGTGCTCCAGGATCTTGATGAAGTGAAAGCAACTCCATGCTCCCTGCAGGCTGGTGGGGAGCACATGGGGGAAGCAGGGACTGTGTACAGCAGGGCAGGTGTCCCCTCCTACCCCTCCAGGTGCCCTGGGCACCTCTCCCCACCACGCTCTGCCCAGGCTGACCCTGGGGCTGGCACAGGCTGGGGAGGGTGGGTTTGGCCTCGGGTATTGGCAGTCCAAGGTCGGGGAGGGCTCCTTCTCGGCAGGTGCACAGGCAGCCTGTCTCCCTGCACTAAGGCTCCAGGGGCCCCGCCCTCACCTCACCCTCCTGGCGCGCTCCAGCCATGGGCTCGCTTTCTCCCTACTCCCTGCTCCACCGTTGCCAATGGTCCCTCCATCAACGTCCCCCTGGAGCTGCCTGAGGTTGCTCTGCTTCCCGGACCCTGGGCTCTCTCTGGGACCCTGCTGGCCCGAGCCAGCCTCCTCTCCACGCTGGGGATGCAGTTACACCTGTTTCTTTGACGGCTGCCTGGTAGAGTCACATTTCACCCCCGGCACCCTGTGGCACCTAGGAGGCCCTGCAAGCCCCTTTTGGTGACCTGGGGAGCCTGGGCTTCCGGCTGGGTGGTCTCTGAGGGGAGGAGCCTGGTGCACCCTGGATGGAGGGGAGGAAAAGGGGCGGCCTGGACATATCCACCAGGACTGGGCCTGCCTGTGATGCCAGTGTGGCCCTGGTTCTTCACCGAGACCCATCTCCCCAGGCCAGGGGTGGGGCCTCCCTGGACTCCCCTCCTCGCCCTCCAGGGACGGGGGCTGACACTCCTCACACACACGTCTACCTCAGAGTCTGGTTTCCATCCCTCGCACACACCGTAACCCCCCCAGGGTTATAGGACAATTTTGAACCTGTGAGGACCCAGCTCCTCTCCATGGGGTATGTTTGGGAAAACACAGGCCCAGAGAGGGGGCACAGGCCCGGGGAGGGGGCACAGGTCTGGGGAGGGGGCACAGGTCTGGGGAGGGGGCACAGGTCTGGGAGGGGGCACAGGTCCGGGGAGGGGGCACAGGCCTGGGGAGGGGGCACAGGTCCAGGGAGAGGGCACTGGCCCAGCGAGGGGGCACAGATCCAGGGAGGGGGCACAGGTCCGGGGAGGGGCACAGATCCAGGGAGGGGGCACAGGCCTGGGGAGGGGGCACAGGTCCAGGGAGAGGGCACTGGCCCGGCGAGGGGGCACAGATCCAGGGAGGGGGCACAGGCCCGGGAGGGGGCACAGGCCTGGGAGGGGGCACAGGTCTGGGGAGGGGGCACAGGTCCGGGGAGGGGGCACAGGTCTGGGGAGGGGGCACAGGTCCGGGGAGGGGGCACAGATCCGGGGAGGGGGCACAGGTGTGGGGAGGGGCACAGATCTGGGGAGGGGGCACAGGTCTGGGGAGGGGCACATATTTGGGGAGGGGGCACATGCCCAGGTAGCACAGGCAGCTGAAGGCCCAGTGGGACCCTGACACCTGATGGCAGAAAACACGAAGGTGACAGGCTGGCACCATGGCCCAGAAGGGCCCCCAGCCCTGCCTTCACCTGCAGGCCAAGCTTCCCCCCACTAGCCACCCCCACAGGCCTCTCGGCTGGCATGGGACACAGAACAGAGTGTTGACAAAAACCAACACAAAGGCAGCAAAGCTGCTGGCCAAGTCTCAGTGACTGTGAACGGATACCAGGGTAACAGTGAGATGTGTCCACACTGAAGGGGCTCGGGAGTGGGAGTGGAGCCCTGGAGGCCCCATCTTTGCTGGGAAGGGCACGGGGGAGCATGGCCCCCATCATGAGCAGAGACGGAGAGGAGAGCTCGGACTCCTCACTCCAGGGAAGGCACGTGGGTGCCCCACACTGCACCTGTGGGACTCGGCCACACCAGGAAGACCAGATGCATTTACCTAGTAATCAAGAAAGGTTCACATTCAACCAACCAGACACATCATTTGAAAATTTAGGGGAAAATACTAAAAGGAACCCAAAGACAGATAAAGAACAGCACTAGTGAAGACAGCAGGAGGTGGGGACTTGGTCAGATGAAGGCCTGGCTCTGAGGCCAGTGCAGTGCGGGGTGAGGCAGCCCAGAAACGCCCGGGAGCTGCCACAAGCAGACACTGAGGGAGGGAACCGTTCCCAGCCATAGCTTTCTTGGCACAACATAAACGAAGAAGCTTTTGAAGCCTGCAAGACCCACGACCTTCTCCAGTCAAAGGCCGCTGACATCTGCTCCATCCATGGAGGAACCAGACCCACAGGTCACAGAAACCATGGCCGAGCATTTGAAATGATGAAACTCTTCCCCACCAGTTCATTGTTTCTCCAGGGCAGGGGCCTAGAAGTAGAATTTCTTGGTTGAAAAGATGGCATCTTTAAAAACTATCATGTAAGAACAACCCTAACTGTCTTCCCCGCACCGGCAGCCGCCTGCCTCACTCACTCATCCCCACACTGAAGGCTTCCGAGCTCCTTCGCATTGGAAGCAGTTCCAGACGCTGGGGATCCATCACCACACAGCAGGGGGAAAATCCCTGCCGTGCAAACACACATTCCAGTAAGAGACAATGAGACAGGCTGCTGGGTGCTGGTTAGGAATGTGAACGGGGTTGTCAGAGGGGCCTCACGGAGAAGACCCTGAGAAAAGACTGGAGGAGGCCAGGAGCCAGGGAGGCCTGTGTGGTCGGGGAAACAGCATCGCAGGCAGAGGGAACGGCGAGGCAAAGGCGAGTCAGGTCATGCCCGGTGTTCCAGGATGGAGAGTCCATGTAGCCAGAGGGTGGGGAGGGAGGAGAGGACCTCAGGGCGGGAAGTGGGTGAGTTGGGAGCCACCCTGGCGGGTCTGCCAGATCCTAACAGGGTCACCAGCCTTCTGGCTCAAAAGCCAGCTGTCGGCCAGAGAGCAAGCTTTGGGGGCTTCAAGAGGGGTGACATTGGTGTCTCAGCCCAGCTCAAGTGGGACAGGCCGGCCTGGCTGACCCTGGGGTGTCTTGTCTGTCTGAGCCTCGTCCCCGCCGCCACCCTACACATCGGATGCACATGTGGACAGTGATGACTGATGGGCCTTTGTGGAGTCTGGGCTCTGCACAGGGGCTTGCTGGTGAGGGAAGATGCGGGGACGGAAAGGAACCCGCTGTTGGTGGGAATGTGCCCGGGTCTCATGATAGTCTCTCATCTTAGTCCTGCTGAGCCACCCCTCCTGGCTGTTCCCATGCACCACAGGGCCCCTGGACTCATGTAGACAGGAAGACAGGGGCACCCGCCACGGAGAGGAATGGCCCAAGTCTGTCAATGCTCTCCAGGTAGCAACACGTTGATGGGAGGGCGGGCTCCTCAGCCCCACTCATGGCTGACCCAGTAAAGCAGTGGCAGAAGCCAGTGGCTGAGGGCGTGTCTCAGGTGTGCATGCGCTGGCTGGGAGCTGGTTTTTGTTCCTCCAGGGGCCCCGTGGGCTGGTTTCCAGTCTCTAAAACACCTGGGACTCCAGATGGTCTCCTCTTACAGCATGGGTGGACACTAAGGGGGTTGTGGGAGGCTTGAGAGATGCAGAGGAGAGAGCCTGCCAGACCCAGAATCCCCACTGTGTCTCCTCCTCGGTGTCAGAGGATCAGCTGTGTGCGTACACAGACATATATGCACAGACACACGGATGCACAGACACACAGACGCACAGACACATGGATGCACAGACACAGTGACAGACACACAAGCACACAGACACATTGACACACATACACAGACATAGAGATGCACAACACACAGATACAGACACACTGACACACACACACATATGCAGAGACACACGGATGCACAGACACACGGACGCACAGTGACAGACACCCAAGCACACAGACACAGACACAGACACACAGATGCACCAACACACAGATACAGACACACTGAGACACACACACAGACACACTGACACACACAGACACACAGATGCACAGACACACAGACACACACACACAGTGACAGACACACACACAGGCACACAGACACAGACACACACAGACACAGAGATGCACCGACACACAGATACAGACACACAGACTCACAGACACAGACACACTGACACAGATGCACAGACGCACACACACAAATACCACACATGGGCACACACACGGCCCTGAAATTTAGGGAATTCTAAGAAAGATTTTTAAATGTTTATTTTATTATTTTCTTTTTTCAAATAGATTTTTGTTCATGTAAAACCTGGAAATGGCTTTAAAGCGATTTGGGTTTTATAAATAATCCTCACTGTAAATAGTGCAAGGACAACATGAAACGTTTCCAGGAGGCAGCAGCCCCTGCCCCGGCCCTCCCCCTGCCCGCTCTCAGCCCCTTCCCCCTGCCTGCTCTCAGCCCCTTCCCCCTGCCCTCCCACTGCCTGCTCTCAGCCCCTGCTCCAGCCCTGCCTCTGCCCGCTCTCAGCCCCCTCCCCCTGCCCTCCCCCTGCCCCTCTCTGGATAGTTGGCCCCCGAGGGTGGGTGCCTGGCCTGCCAGCGCTTCCTCCTTCACTTAGGTCCCTCCTGATGTCCTGTGGGGGCCACCCCCCACCCTATCCGCCACGTGTGTCCCCTCCCTCACTGCCCACTCTTGGCTAAAACCACAGTCACTGCTTGTCATGGCTGGGCCTTGTACACACAGCATTCCCCTAATCTTCCAGCCCGACGCTGCTCTCTGGAGGCTCAGCCTCCTCCTTCCAGGACACGACCCCCGCCCTCTGCCACACTCCACAGCGTGCTGAGAGGGCCAGACCCATTCCCCATGTCTTCCCACGGGGCAACCCCTTGGTGGGCTGTGGGCCTCCCATTCTGGGTGGTCCTGGCCCTGCCCTTAGCCAGCCTGGCCTCCCTGGGCCACCCTCTGCTGAGCGGCTGCCCCCGCCAAGGCTGAAGCTGACCCCGGCCTGACCTTCTGCCTTCGGAGCTGGTCCCGCTGGCTCACGGGGTATGGCCCACGGGGACAGTGGGAACCGGGGGTCTCAGCATTCCTTCCAAAGATGCACAGCCCAGAGTAGAATGAGGTGCTCCTCTCCAGGGCAAAATTAAAGCAGGGAGCAGGGGGGTGTTCCAAAAACTCACTCATCAGAAAAGCGGTATTTTAATGCAATTCTTTTTAAAACCAGGAGTAACGCAAAAAATATCGATGACAAAAAGTCAAAATAAAAAAGGACATTCTTCTTTTCAAAAGAAGTCTTGTTTCTTTCCAGTTCATTTTCCAAAAGTCTGAGGTGGTTCGGGGCTGCCCTGGGTCCCTTCCCGTCCTCTGCCCCCGTGCGGGGCTGTGCCGTGGACGGAAGCCTCTCGCCAACGCCCAGCGGCTCCATCCCGAAGGCCCGTGAGGCTCCTGGAGCGGCTCCACCTCCCCTCCCCTTTCCCACAACCCCTCCCTCCCCATCTTGAGACCCTCCACCCTAGCAGAGGCCTCACCTCGGAGCTCCTGACCTGATGGGAGTCCACCCTCTCCCCCGCCTTGGCCAGCACCCCCTGCCCAGTTTCACCCAAAGTTCCCACTCCGCCCCGTGCGAGTCCTTTCCCCTGGGGCTGAGACAGAGGACACCAGGCAGTGTTTGAGGAGCCCCCTTCTGTGGATACCTCCCAGTGGTTATGTTGGGCGAAAAGAAGGAAAAGGGTTGGGAAGAAGCCAGTCAGCTGTCCAGTGCCCTGAGGCCTGACCCCCTCCATCCTCAGGCCCTGAGTCCTGACTGCCTCCACCCTGAGGCCCTGAGTCCTGACCATCCTCCACCCTGAGGCCCTGAGTCCTGACCATCCTCCACCCTGAGGCCCTGAGCCCTGACCCCCCTTCACCCTGAGGCCCTGGGCCCTGACCACCCACCCTGAGGCCCTGAGTCCTGACCATCCTCCACCCTGAGGCCCTGGGCCCTGACCCCCCTCCACTCTGAGGCCCTGGTCCCCGGCCTGGCTGGGCCCCCGAGCAGTGAGCAGGGCAGCAGGGCGGAGTGAGCAGGTTCCCCCAGGTGACCATCAGGTGACGCCTGGTCCTGGGCACCCTGCACCCTCTGTGCTTGGCCAGTGGTCCCTCCACTCAGCTCTCCCAGGGGCCCGGGCTGACCCTGGCTGCCCTAACCATGTCGGTGTATGGTGCCCGAGGGCTCAGGCCAGACAAGTGTCTACCAAGGGCAGCAAACGCTGGGGCACCTGGCCCGAGGCCACAGGAATAAGCAGCCTCCCGCAGAGCCTGGCATGTTGGGGGTTGAGTGCTCTCATCTCCCTGTTTAATGATTTCCTCAGCAAACACATCCTCGGGATTGCTCAAGGCTGAGGTCACTGTTCAGCTCAGCTTCCCGGGAGCCTGTGAAGACATTTGCAAAAGGGTCCACTGAAAACAGCACGGGCTGGGCTGCCAGCAACCCGGTGGGTGGGAGGGCAACCTCCAAAAAACCCTCCGGTCAGAAAACAAAATGGCAAAAAGACGTCTCCTCTGGGGGCCCGGTCCATAACAGATGCGCCTTTGAAATCCTGGGCCAGGCGTCTGTCCAGAGCAGTGAATTCTCCAAGGGAAGGCGGGGTTAGGATGCTGCACCCATCCCTGGTGGAATTCCAGGTGGAGCTGGGAAGAGCATTGCTCCCACCCACAAGAAAAAAGCTACAACTGCATGTCAACAGCGCGTGATCCGTCCAGGAGCCCGGAACCAACCTGGAAGAGGCGGGTTCCTCTGCGGGTGGGACCCTGGGCAGGTGCCCGGCCAGATCACCGTGTCAGCTGGTGAGAAGTGTGAGCTGGGGATAGTCAGCAGACTGCGGCCTGGGATGGCTGCTGGGCGGGGTGGAGATCGTGAATCTCCACCAAAGGGGGACCTGCTCACTCTGCCCTGCTCATCTGGCCCCAGAGGGACCGGGCTCTTCCCACAGTACTGGCTGAGGGAGGGGCACCCTCCGGGGCCACGGAGCCCAGGGAGGCCCGGGATGCCAGGACGTGGAGACGTGTGCTGTGAGCAGCGCACCTGGAGGAGGGGCCGGAGAACGCGGAGCACACCTGAGCCCAGGCCCACGGTGGAGGATGTCCCTCTGGGCTCTGCAGTGGGCAAGGCCAGGAGAGCTGGGAGGGACAGGTCTCTCTCTCTCCACCCCCTCAGGAGGTGAAGCCCCAGGGCCAGGCAGAGACAAGCACAAGTGCGGCTGGAGCAGCCTGAGGGTCGCCGTGGCCACAGCAGACATCAAACCAGGGGACTCCTGCAGGGCTGGGCTCAGCCCCATGGTAAAGGCAGGCAGAGGATGGGGGCTGTTAGGGGCTGAGCGGTGTCCCCCAAATCCATGCATCAAAGCCCTAACAGCCAGGACCCCAGAAGGTGACTGTATTTGGAGACAGCTTTTAAAGAGGTGATTAAGGTAAAATTCAGTCCTTAGGGCAGGCCCTGATCCAGTCTGCCTGGGGTCCTTATAAGGGGAGGGAGGACACAGACACACGGAGGGGTGGCCCTGCGAGGACCCAGGGAGGAGACGCCGCCCACAAGCCAAGGAGAGGCTGCGGGAGGAACCGGGCCTGCCACACGGGGACCTGGGACGTCCAGCCTCCAGGACGCAGAGAAACAACGGTCTGCTGAGGAAGCCGCCCGGCATGCAGCATTTGTGCTGGCAGCCCTGAGAAAACTTGAATAGGATGCTCCGCTGCTGGCATGAGAGCTGTTTTCCTGCAAGGCTGGGCAACTCCTCCACCGCTGGCGGGTGGAAAATGGGGCGGCCGCCACGTGCCTGGTTTATCCCAGAGAGGTGAGGACCTGGGTACGCGCAAGCACACAAGCCTGTGTGGCAGTGTCCACTGTGGCAATGCCAGGACAATGATGGCTGGAAAGGACCCGAAGTGCCGCCCTGGTAATGGGGTGACAGACGGGAACATCTGAGGCAGGAGGCGGTGCTCAGATACTGGACCACATTGAGGCCTAGCTAACACAGGGCAGGGGCACAGGTAGCTTTCCATGAGGCACGCCCTCCAGTGCGCCATGTCAGTTTACGGTTGCCACGGCAATACCTGGGCATTACTGCCCCTTTCCATGGCAACTACCCGACCACCCAAGAGTTACTACTCCTTCCCTAGAAGGAGTGTCCACCTCACACAAGGACCGTACTGGGGCGGCGTCCAGAAGGAGTGTCCACCTCACACAAGGACCGTGCTGGGGCGGCGTCCAGAAGGAGTGTCCACCTCACACAAGGACCGTGCTGGGGCGGCGTCCGAGAAGTGTGGGGCTGTCTGCGGCCTTGAGGGCCTCGTGGGCACAGTGCAGACTTGGACACAGGTGGCAGGACTGGGCGCTCGGAGCTGAGGACGGGTCCAGGAGATGCCGACACCAGCTAAGCTCCTGCTGTGAGACCCCGACCCCGGGGCGTTCAGGAACTCCACCCTTTCTGATCGCATCACCCTCATGGACAGCCTGCAAGTCCAGTGACGTTGTCTCCATTTCACAGATGGAGAGGCTGAGGCTTGGTGCCGAGGGCTTCCCACACATCTGGGAGTGGGAGCTGTTCTCAGGCCAAGCCACCCTGGGTCCCTGGGAACTCACTCCATCCTGTGTGATTCCCTGTGTGTCCCCTGCCCAGACCCCTCAGAGCCAAACTCAAATGGCAGCTTGGCACCAACACGTTCCCAACAAAGGGAACGTCCACCATCCCAGAACCCGCCCACTTCATTGCCCCGCACTGCTGCACACCCAGCCCTGCAGGCGGCAGCCCCAGGAGCAACAGACACCTCCTCACACACCTCCAGGTCCCCAGCGTGGCACGCAGCCTCCAAGCACCTGACCACCGTGCCAGCTCCCGGTCCACCTGGCCCAGGCCCACTCCCCTGGGTGTTGGCAGGAGCCCCGCCTGGACTCTCACACCCCAGGCCTCCAGTCTGCACCAGCATCTGCAAGCCCAGATCCTTCTATGGCCCTCCCAGCTGAGGACACACCCCAGGCCTCGCAGGGCCTGCTGGTCTCTGCCAACACCTGCAAAGCTCTCTGCGCCTCTGCCCGGCAGCCTCCTCCTTCCCGCAACTCCACCTCAGCCTCGGGACATTTGCCCAGCGTCCCCTCTGTCAATCCACTCTCCCCTGGGTCTCCGTGCCCCCAGTGTCACCTGAACATCCCCTTGCTGACCTGCTGTGCAGCCAGGTCCCCACCATAAGCACTGTCATTACGCCACTGTGTGGGTGTCTGCCTTGGGTCTCTGCCCCTGGCCGCCCCCAGGGCCTGTTCCTTGAGAGCAGGGCAGGTTCTGTGTGTTTCTTCCCCATGGTCTATCCCCAGCACCAAGCGCAGCGCCTGCCACACAGCAGGTGCTTCCCAAACAGAGTGGGGCAGGGTTTGCACCGTTTGACTCCTCAGGCCACCTGTTTCCATTGCACACAGAAGGGGAGGAGTCATTGCCACCCAGGCAGTCAGGGGAGGCTTCCCGGAAGAGGTGATTGGGGAACTGGGCTTTGAAGGATGCCCACACCTCACCAGGCAGCAAAGCCCAGAGGTAGCAATGCAGCCTGTGAGCTGTGCCGGGGTGAATGCCAGTGAAATGTTAGAGTCAACTGCAGCCAGGGGTGGGACAGGAGGGAGAGAGGAGAAAAGAGGGGGCAGAGGTATCAGGAAGGGCCAGTGGGGGCCTCCACACCCAGCCACAGAGCGTGGGACTGTCCTGTGAGCAGTGGCCATTGTCAGGGTGACTAAGAGATGACCAGCGTGGGTGGTATCGGGGGAAGCCAAGCCCGGGAGTTAGGGGGACCTGGGGCCCTGAACACACGGCTGCAGCACGTCTGGGGCAGATCGATGGGACCGTACGGGCCAGGGCAGACACTGGGCACCGGGTCAGGCAGTGACCTCCGACAGTGCGTCCCCACGGCCCATGCGCTCATGTTTCAGTGCTTTGAGGATGCTGTGGGGGCAGGAGCAGGGAACTGGACCCGAGTCCCACCCTGGGCATGTGGCTAGCCTCCTGCATGCATTCTTCCGGAAGCTTCCCCAAGGTGTCCGTACATGCTTTTCTGTGGAATTTCTCATCCTCTGCACCTCAGCGGCTGACTGGGGCCCATGCTGCAGCCTGGGGAGATGCAACCCCCAAGGACGAGCCGGCCAGACAGTCCCGAGGGCCACAGCTGGAGGAGGGTCTTCCAGGCTTGGGCTGGGGACAAAGCCCCTTTGTGCCTTCCTGGCCGAGGCCCCATGGAGGACAGAGCTCCTTTCAAGGCCGCCCTGCTCCTCCACAGTGAAGGCTGACTTGGCTTCGGGGATCCTGGGGCAACACCATGTGGCTGACACCACGGACTGATTAGAAACAGCTGGCAAAGGCGCCAGGGCCCTGGGTTGTAGGGGGTGGTTTCAGCCTTTTCTAATCTTGGCTCTGACTCAGTTAGAAACAGAGTGGGCCCAGAGCCTCCCAGGGGGCTGGTTAACCCCCCAACCCTGATACAAGGGCCCAGAGCCTCCCGGGGGGCTGGTTAACGCCCCCAACCCCGATACAAGGGCCCAGAGCCTCCCGGGGCTTTGCCAACTCCATGTGAAGATGTCTTCAAGGCAGGGGCCGTGTGGGACGAGCCCGCATGGCAGGGGAGCGGCAGCCAAGGCCGAGACACAGACAAGTGCAGCGTCAGAGGAGACAGAGGTCCAGCCAGGCCCCTTGGGGGGCAGATGAGAGCCACAGCACAGCCCACAGGGACCACAGCCCACGAAACCACAGCCCACAGAACCACAGCTCGTGGAGGGACCACAGCCCACTGGGACCGTTGCCCGTGGAGCCAGGTAGAACCAGGTTGGAGACACCCCCGGGTGCACTGTGCACCTTGCTCCTGGGCTGCAGGCATAGCAGTCCCCCGCTTCATGGGGACCCAGCCTGGAGTCTGCTGCTCACTGAGGCTGCTCGGGAATCCCAGGGTGGGAAAGTGAGGCCGGGTAGCAGAAGGAAGCACCTTCTCCTGGGGATCAGGTATTGCCACCTGTTGTGGGGGTTGGGGAGAGGAAGCTCTCCCGGGAACCAGTGGCTCCCTCCCTCCCCCACTCTGCCCACGGCTCAGGCCTCCCACAAGCTTGGGCGCCAGTGTCCTGCAGATAAGGGGGTGTGCGGGTTTTCCCAGTGGAACAGGCCGGTGGGACTTGCCGGGGTGTAGGTGGCTGGGCCACAGGTGTGGACGGGTGTCGTGGGCGATGGGGGAAGCTGGGGTGGGAAGGATGTGCCTGCCTGCCACGCTGGGCCCCAGCTTCTCAGGGCTGTCCCGCTGGGCAGGGGTCCCCCACCCGCAGGGCACTCGCCCCTCCCCGCACAGTTCCTCCTTGGGGTCTTCCCTGCACCCCAGCCTCGAGGCCCCTCCGCACAGGCTCCTTGCAGCCCTGCCTCCCACGACTGTTCGTCCCCCAGGAGCCCCACGTGATCTGTCCCCTGCCCTGCTGGCACCGACTCTCTGGGATGTGAGTGAGCCCGAAGCAGGGGCACCGGGATGGGAATCGGGCGCTATGGTGCCGTGGTGGCTGGGGATCCAAGTTAAGCTGGTGCAGGTGAGGAGGCCTCAGGCTGAGTCCGGGTGGCAGCTGGAATGGGACCCGCCGGCCTGAGGTGTTGAGGGGGGTCCTTTCCCCGCTTCAGGCCCACACTCTGTGGGGCGCATAGCCACGCTGCAGATGGGCACTGCCCTCTGCACTCAGCCCCACCCAGCGGCCACTTCTGTCCACATCCTGCTGGCCAGAGGCCCAGGCGTCAGACATCCCCAGACCGCCTGCCCCATGGGTGAGCAGACCCCACCTTCTGCCCTGGGAATTTCTGGCTGGGTGGTCAACAAGGGGAGCCTGGGGGTTCAGTGCCCAACTCTGCTCGGCCTACATCCCTCTTGGGACTCACCCAGCCCCTGGGGGCCTTGGACACCGGGAACACAGCAGACAATTCACACTGAGCTTTCGCCTAGACAGTCCCAACCCAGACGCAAATGCGGGAACTCTTCCTCCTCCAGCGTCCCACAGTCACCCAGGATGCACCACAGCGCCCAGACCCAGCTTCCTGACCCAGCCCTGCCCCTTCCTAGCTCAGGCCAGAGCCCAGGAGACCCCTCCACATCCTTCACCCCACCTTACCCCCTCACCTCCCTCCCACTCCCCTGCACCCCTCATTTCTGACTCCCTGGGAGGGTGACTCTGTCCTCAGTGTCCTGTCCACCTCCACTGATGTCTGCTCACTGCCATTCATTCAAGGCTCAGCCTTCTCAGCCCCCTGGGTAGGACAGTGCCTTTTCCCATCGCTGCCGGAACTCCCCAGGCAGTTTGCATGGGTTTCTCACTGGAAGCTGCTGAGCCCCACCTGTGTGGGGTCCTGGGGCTGCCCCCCTCCTCACAGCAGGCTCAGCTCATGGTGGGTGCCGGGGGGTGGGGAGGCTGAGGGTTGGGAGGGAGGAGGGGCAGGCGGAGGAGGCTTCTTTAGGATGAGCCCAGCGAGGGTGGCCCAGGGGAGACGGTGCAGATCCCAGGAGCCCACATCAGCTGGAGACCTTAGGGAGAGCTCCAGGCCCAGCACACCTGCCCCAGCCTCAGCCCAGGAACCCTGCCCTGTCGGGGGAAGGAATGTGTGGAATGTTCCAGCAAAGAGGAGGTGAGGGGCACGGAGACCCTGGCCAGGTGAGGGACAATGAGACCCTGGTGGCCCCAGGAATGCTGTGGCCCGGGAGGAAGCAGAGGGGAGCTGGCCAGTGAGCTGTAGGCCTGCCCACATCCATGGCCCTGGCTGGGACCCCGCGGGGGCTTGGGGAGGGCCCTCTGGGGCTGGTGGCCTCCCAGTTCGGGGAGTTGATGTTTTCACTTTCAGAGTTCCCACAAAAAACCAGCTCACATCCCTGGGGATTTTCTGCTTGACCAGCATCCCACGAGGCTGCCCTTGTGCAGCTGCCAGCCCAGCCCTCCCTAAGCGCTTTCCAGGGCCTGGCCCCAGGCCTGCAGGCAGGAGCCTCCCATGCCGGCAGCACCTGAGACCTTCAAGGTTTATTAAGCAGAGGTGATTTTGATGAGTGAAGCGCAGAGGTTGGAGGTGACTTTGTCCCAGGTGGGGAGGGTCCCGAGCTTGGCAAGAAGACAGAGGGGCAGCTACATGGGTGCCCGTATGGCTGGCACAGAGCACCAGCCTCTGGAGGCCCACCCCGGGCTCAAGCTCTCGAGTCAGGGACGCAGACAATGGGCAGAGCCGTCCTGGCATCAGGGGGCGCCCAGACGCCTCCTCCTGACAGACAGCCAGACTCTTCATGCGAGTTTGGTGGCACCAGCTCCAGGTTCTGGGCCCGCCTGGAGTACCCGCTCTGGCTGGGATGGGGTCAGTTCCCTGCTTCCGTGGGTGTGGGCCAGGGCTGGGCACAGGGGTTGGTAAAGTTTGGGCATCTTCAAGGAGAATGCTGAGGCCTCCCGAGAGCCCCGTGCAGGACAGGACCTGGGTGGAGGCGAGACGGTGGGCGTGGCTTTCCCCCCACGCTGTCCTGAACGCCTCAGGGATTGGGAAACAGCTCAGCAAGGGGGAACTCGGGCCCTGCCCCCGACTCCATCCTGGGGCACCGCCAGATGCTGTGAGGCTCGGCCAGCCCAGAGGTGGCATCAGAGGGACTGCCATGAGCAGAGAGCACCACACAGAGATCCGAAGAGTCCAGTCCCTGCCTGAGGGGAGGGTGGGTTCAGGGGACAGGGTCTGGTCCGTGACCTTGACCTGAGGACTAAACACGGAGCAGGGGGAGGAGGGGCGGGACCGGGAGGGCAGAACCCACGCGAGGAAGAGGAGGGCGGGGCTGGGACAGGAGAACCCACGTGAGGAAGAGGAGGTGGGTGTTGTGTACGCACAAATATCATACATATGAGCACAAATGAGCCGTGAGGAAACGTACAAATCTGCATAAATGAATTCAAAAAGCCAAAGCGGCCATTCAGGGAGAGACCACAGTAAACAGAACAGCGCGGCTGAGCTGGTGTGGCCCCGTCAGCTTCCACTCACCCGTGAAGATAAAAGTGGCTGTATGGGCTCACCCAGCAAAACCCAACTCTATCCTGTTTACACCAGACATACCCCAGATCTAGCTCTTCAGAAGCCGTAGAGGGAAGAGCGTGCAGGATGGGGTAGGCAGGTGCAGGAAGGGGCCGTCCCAGGAGACCCTCTGTCCCAGGAGCCAGCCTGCCTCGGCCAACAGCCCTCCTTGCCCGCTAGGAAGTGTGGCTCTCAGAGCCAGGCTGGGGCTGAGGTCTGGCCGCCTTGTTGGGGCTGCCGGCATGGGACAGGTCAGAAACTCAGGTCCACAGCAAGGAGGAGTGTCAGAGAAGGGGAAAGGAAGGACAGAGAGAGCCTTCTGCTTTCTTACCCTTTTTGGGGGGCGGGGAGGGGGGACAGAGTCTTGTTCCGTCACCTAGGCTGGAGTACAGTGGCTCAATCTCTGCTCGTCACAACCTCTGCCTCTCAGGTTCAAGAGATTCTCGTGCCTCAGCCTCCCGAGTAGCTGGGATTACAGGCACCCACCACCACACCCAGCTAATTTTTGCATTTTTTAGCAGAGATGGGGTTTCACCATTTGGCCATGGTGGTCTCAAACTCCTGACCTCAGGTGATCCACCCGCCTCAGCCTCCCAAAGTGCTGGGATTACAGGCATGAGCCACGGCGCCTGGCCCGTTTTCCGATTCCTAATTGTGCTGGGTGGTCATGGCGTGGGGATAAGTAATGGGACAGTGATGTCGTTATGGGGCGGGATGGGGATGGGAGGCTCCGTCGTCCAGCCCCCGCTACCCCAGAGCGTTATTTGGAGGTGGCTGTGGTGGCTGAACCAGGCCCCCTAGGGTGTCTCCGTCCTAACCTCAGGAATCGGCAGACATCGCCTTGTGTGACACAGATGCCATGAGGTTAGAATCCACAGTGGCAGAGTTGAGTTGTGACTGGCCAAAAAAAGCCTAAAATATTCATTCTCTGGCTCATTACAGAGCAGTTTGCTGACCCCTGGTCCGCCTGCCCGCTCCCCGGCTGGCCTGTGGGCAGGACCTTGGCCACCGCCTGAGGCTCAGCAGGGGCGTGAGCTTCCCCCGAAACCAGCCCCCCGACTTCTCCCCCTTCAATGAGCCACAGAGAAGCCAGAATCTGACTAAGTGCAGATGTGGGTTCTGGAGGTGCAACCCCAGGATGCACACGAGGGGACCCTGACCCCAGGATGCACATGAGGGGACCCTGACCCCCCACGTACACATGAGGGGACCTTGATCCCCACCCACACATGAGGGGACCCTGACCCCAGGATGCACACGAGGGGACCCTGACCCCCACCCACACACGAGGGGACCCTGACCCCAGGATGCACACGAGGGGACCCTGACCCCCACCCACACACGAGGGGACCCTGAGCCCCCACCCACACACGAGGGGGCCATGACTCCCCATCCACACACCAGGGGGCCATGACTCCCCACCCACACACGGCGTCTGAGTCCCGTCTCCTCAAATCTGACTTGCTCAACCAGCAGAAGTGAGACAGACTTTCTGGGGTTCCCAGGGTTACATCTTAAGGGGCCTGGCAGCACCCGCCTGGGTCTCTGGGGATGCTCCCCCTCGGATCCCAGCTGCTGCCGGCTCTGCAAAGCCCCAGTGTGGCCACGTGGGGTGGCCTCAGCCAACAGCCCAAGCTGAGCCCCACCCCAGCCGCCTGCCCTTCCTGCCCTCCCTGCGCTGAGCCACTTGGGTGCCCTTCAGGAGTCCCTGAGCGAGAGCCACCAGCTGAGCCCCGCAGCTGCAGAGCCTGGTCTGGGAGGTTTTATGAGATCCACCACCCGTGTGATGGGGACTGAGGGTCCATCCGCATCTCTAACAAGCCACTGGTGATGGTGATGTGGAGCAGGGGCCACGGTGGTGGGGCGAGGGCTCAGCCTCCAGTGGGGTAGATGCCTCTCCCAGGACAGGGAGGGCCGGCTGTTCTGGGTGCCTGCTGCATCTGGGGACTTCCTAGCAATGCCTCCTTCACCCAGTCCTGGGGAAAACTCGGCCCGCTGGCCCACCTGTCTGCCAGCTGCTGATCCAATGCAGCAGGGAGCTCCAGGGGACGCCGGGCTCAGTGCCAGGCCTCGAGGCTCTGATAGCAAACCAAAGGCTGCCCTGCCCTCCTAGGGCCAGGACGGTCACACTCTGGGTCCTGGCCTCCCATCTTCAGTGTGTGCTCCTGAGCCCGAGTCCCTCCGAGAGGAGGGATACATTTCCTGGGATTATAGCCACACGCTCCAGCTAGTCAAGTGCACCTGGGCCACCTGCAGGAGGAGGCCCGTGGCCCCAGGAAACCTCTCACTGCACTCACTGGTTTGGCACTTTCTCCACATCGAATGACTTACCATAAACTTGTATTTTTGAACCACTAAAATACATGTGTTATTTGGGCCCAGCCCTGGTGTTGGAGTAAGAGCTTCTAAAAATAAACACTTGCTAGGCTCCCACAGCAGAGCCTCCAAGGCGCGGCTTAGCGGGACCAGACGATCACCATGTAAGGCTGCCGAGGGCCAGCTCTGAGCTCCATCCCCCTCTTCTCTCCCAGGTCCCCCCAGGCCAAGGTGTTGGTCAAATTCCTTCAAATCTTAGGGGAGACTCACAGGAAACAGGAGGGAGTCTGGACCCCAGGGCGAAACGGGCCAGGAGCAGCCAGGTGGCCGTGTGGCCCCACGTCCAGCTGCAGGCCATTGTCAGGGCAGACCCTGGCGCTCAGAGAGCATCTTGAGCCTGGACAGAGCCTTATAAGGCGCTCCTGGGGTTGTGACACATGCTCCAAGAATAGCCTCCAGGCTTTGTCTTCCGACGGGCTGGCGCCAGGGTCCTGCAGAGAGTGCCTGGCGCCAACCAGGGGCCAGTCAGGCACATGCACACCGGCCTCCTTCCTGCCAGCCCACTGGGCTGGGGTTTCCCAGGGCTGCGGGAAGGGAAGTGGAGGAAGGACGTGGCACCGCGGCTGGCAGGTGCAGGCTGGGGCTCTCATCCTGGTGCTGACCCCACCTGGTCAGGCAGTGCCCACACGGGACCAGACTAGGACCCTCAACCTTTTCTACTGCACCTTGCTGGCCGGCAGGCAAAGCCTCTGGGCTCACAGAATGCCGTTTAAACATGTGTCGTGTAAAACATACAGGACCCTCACCCGAACATACTGCCATGCGGTCATAAAACATTTCAACTGTGTTGATGGAATACATGTGAGTCCGGTCTGGCTGCCACCACTGTCCTCTCCCGTCCAGCTTCACAAGTGGCCGAGCTCCTCCACGACCCTGCAGGAAGGACCAGCAGCACAGCATCTCTCGGCATTGCCAATCAGCTGTCTGGTGGGGTCCCTGTGGAGTCAGGGCCATTCCTCCGGCCTGTCCACCTGACCTGCTGCCTGCACACAGGCCTCACGCCCTCACTCACGCTCACACATGCTCCCTGTCCCGACTGCAGCAGCCCTTCCCCCTTGGGGCCTGGGTGTCCCTTCCTGTCTCCCTCTGCCTGAGGAGGGACCGGCGTCCGGTGCCCTTTGACCTTGGCCTGGCTCTGAAGTGAGTCATGGAAAACCTCGCCGCTGGGAAGGAAGGCGCTTGTCCTCCCAGACCCAGGTCTGCAGCAGTTGTGACCACGCCCATCCCAATGGCCCTGCCTGACAGCAGGGAGGCCAGTCCACCTCCAGGTAACAGGCCCCAATCCTGGAGCCCAGCCTAGAAGAACTGCCAGGGGGTGGACGCAGGGCCTCAAGGCTCCCAGAGCACGGCCTGCAGAGCAGATAGACACAGGGCCAGGGCAGGAAGGGGCAGGATGGGGGTGGGGGCAGGAGAGGAGGCCAGAGTGGGGCTCCAGAGGGGCCCGGCCTCACCCTGGAGCTGGGCCGGGGTCGGGGCTGTGACCTCCAGGTTCATTGGGCCCTGGGTGGGGAAAGGCACCCTCCATGTCATGCCCAGTGCATGCAGGGGTCCCCGAGAGGCCTGGGCACCCAGGGACAGCCCCCACCCCAGCCCACCTGGCAGCCACTGCAGGTGACCAGAAGGCTAGTCCCAGGCTGTGGGAAGATGGCCCAGGGCTTGGTGGGGAAGGAACATCAGGGGACGGGGCAGGAAGGGGAATGGAGCCCCTCTGGAGGAGCCTGAAGCCCCTGGGGTGGTGCACGTGGAGTTTCTCAGCCAGAGAAGTGGGGGCCAGAGGAGTGGGGGCAGCCACCCACGTCCTGGAGACGGTGACTGACCTGGAGGTGGTGGGGGGGTTCGATTTTTCATGAGTGGAGGAGCTTGGGGCTCCCCAAGCGCATGTCGGGGGGCACTTCCTGGTTCCTTGGCCTCTGGCCTGTGGGTGCCCAGCCCCTAGGACCAGCCTGGAGGTAACATCCAAATGGGGTGGGATTCCCTGAAGGCCACAGGGACCCCCTCACAAGCCTTCTCCCAAGTACCCCCACCCTGGACCCTCTGAGCTGGCCTGAAGTGGGGGTCTTGGGGTGACCGTCTCAGCCCCTCCTCACGTCCCCAACTCCAGGCTGAGCCAGGCGTGGCCTCCTCCACCGTGGCCTCCTCTGCCATGGGTGCTGAGATTGCCCTGCTTCCTCCCACCCTGTTTCTTCTTGAGATTGGGGTGGGCGGCCTGGCTGGGGACACTTGAGGTCACCCCCGGGCCCCCAAGGCCAATCACGGCAGGACTAGGCGTCCTAAGAGGAGGCGGAGTGGGGATCTGCTCACCAAAGCCACAGAAGAGGATCCCAGGCTAACCCGGGTCCTTGCAGACCGATGGGAATCCATGAAGTCAAACAGGGTGAATTTCTAAGACAAAAGCTGGTGTTGTTTATTTTTTGTGACTGAGTCACTCTTCCCAGCCTCTTCCCAGGATGGAGATGCCAGCATTGTTTCTCGCCCCCTCGCCTCTTTCATGTGTGTCCTCAATGCCCCAGTGAGAAAGGGAGGGACAGACAACAAGCTCAGGTCCCAGCCCCCACCCCACCTACATGCCCATTTCTGCAGCTGTCGGAAGCTGCAGTGCAAGTTCCACGCTAGTGGCTGGTGCTGTGAAGGTACCACGGCCAGGAAGTGAGGTCCCAGAAGCAGCCTGGGCACCCCTGGGCGCTGGGTAGAAATGCAGAGTCCCAGGCTCCAGCCCAGACCTGCTGAGTCAGAATCTGCATTTTAACAAGAGCCGGGGTTCCAGGCCCCTGTTGAGGAGCACTCAGGGGGCTTCCATTGGCCCCAGCTCTAAAGAAGTCGTGCGGCCCGGCCCGTGTACAGGTATGACCATTTGGCCAAGGCTGCCCTTCTCAAAGACCTGGGCGGCACCCTTAGACGGCTTCTTAGAGGCCTGGGTGGGCCCCCCCCCCACACCAGGGTCCGGGTGGGCCAGGGCACCTGCATTCCTACAGCACCAAGGGTGCCCAGGCTGCTGGTTGGGGCACACTTTGAGCCGCTCCCGGGCGTAAGACAGTAAACTCCACCCACAGGAGCTTTTGGCTGCATTTGGGCTAAGGATGGTTTGCACGTGTTTAAATGCTTGGAGAAAAATACAAAGAAAAACATGGACAGAGCAGAGTGGGTGCACGGACCATGTGGCCGCAAAGCTTAAATCCATTACTTTCCAGGCCTCGACAGAGCTGGCTGGTCCCTGCTCTGAGTAACAGAGAAAGTAAAAGAGCCCCCCTAAGAGAGCCGGTTCCCTTTGATAACCACAGCCCCTCACGCCCCGGCCTCCCCCACCTCCCCCGCCTCCGGAGATCACACTCGCGTGCCACTGATGCCTGGTGCCTTCACACTTTCCACCTTTGCCAGGATTTTCTCTGGCTACTATAAGCTGAGCATTCTTTAGCATCTATCATTCCCATGTCCACCACTGGCCTTCTGACTTGGTTTCTGGGGTCTTTGGTGATAAAGTTGTGTTAGCTTCTGCTGCAGTCCACTTTATCTTCTCCTCCTCTGCTCCACGTGGGGCTGCGTCTTTGTTTGGGAGAGTTGCTATTCTAAGGTCCGTGTTCTCCTCTAATATCTTTTTAAGTTCCGGTGTATATGTGCAGGTGTGTTACATGGGTAAACATGTCCCATGGTGGTTTGCCGCACCTATCAACCCATCACCTAGGTATGAAGCCCAGCACACATTAGCTCTTTTCCCTAATGCTCTCCACCCCCACCCTCCCCCAACAGGACCTGGTGTGTGTTGTTCTCCACCCTGTGTCCGTATGTTTTCATTGTTCAGCTCCCACTTATAAGTGAACATGCGGTGTTTGGTTTTCTGTTCCTTTGTTAGTTTGCAGAGGATAATGGCTTTCAGCTTCATCCATGTCCCTGCAAAGGACGTGATCTCGTTCCTTTTTATAGCTGCATAGTATTCCATGGTCTATATGTACCACATTTTCTTTATCCAGTCTATCACTGATGGGCATTTGGGTTGATTCCATGTCTTTGCTATTGTGAATAGTGCTGCAGTGAACATACGTGTGCATGTATCTTTATAATAATTTATATTCCTTTGGGTATATACCCAGTTATGGGATAGCTTCTCAAATGGTATTTCTGGTTCTCAATCTTGGAGGAATCACCACACTGTCTTCCACAATGGTTGAACTAATTTACATTCCCACCGGCAGTGTAAAAGTGTTCCTATTTCTCCACAGCCTTGCCAGCATGTGCTGTTTCCTGACTTTTTCATAATTACCATTCTGACTGGCATGAGAACTCATTGTGGTTTTGATTTGCATTTCTCTAATGACCAGCGATGTTAAGCCTTTTTTCATGCATTTGTTGGCTGCATGTATGTCTTTTTTTGAGAAGTGTCTGTTCATATCCTTTGTGCACTTTTTAATGGGGTTGTTTGTTTTTCTCTTGTAAATTTGCTTAAGTTCCTTGTAGATTCTAAGTGTTAAACCTTTGTCAGACAAACAGATTGCAAAAAATGTTCTCCCATTCTGTAGGTTGTCTGTTCACTCTAATGATAGTTTCGTTTGCTGTGCAGAAGCTCTTTAGTTTATTTAGATCCCATTTGTCAGTTTTTGCTTTTGTTGCCATTGCTTTTGGCATTTTCATCATAAAATCTTTGCCTGTGCCCATGTCCTGAATGGCATTGCCTAGATTTTCTTCTAGGGTTTTTATAGTTTTGGGTTTTACATTTAAGGCTTTAATCCACTTTGAGTTAATTTTTGCATAAGGTGTAAGGAAGGTGTCCAGTTTCAATTTTCTGCATATGGCTAGCCAGTTCTCCCAGCACCATTTATTAACTAGGAAATCCTTTCCCCATTGCGTGTTTTTGTTTGGCTTGTCGAAGACCAGATGGTTGTAGACATATGGTGTTATTTCTGAGTTCTCTATTCTGTTCCATTGGTCTATGTGTCTGTTTTTGTACCAGTACCATGCTGTTTTGGTTACTGTGGCCTTGTAGTATATTTTGAAGTCAGGTAGCATGATGCCTCCAGCTTTGTTATTTTTGCTTAAGATTGTCTTAGCTATGAGAGCTCTTTTTTGGTTCCGTATGGATTTTTAAATAGTTTTTTCTAATTCTGTGAAGAATGTCAATGGTAGTTTAATGGGAATAGCATTGAATCTATAAATTGCTTTGAGCAGTATGGCCATTTTCATAACATTGATTCTTTCTATCCATGAGCGTGGAATGTTTTTCCATCTGCTTGTGT